>NC_000001.11:57887168-58038683 GCF_000001405.40 Homo sapiens
TTTCCAGGAATAGCTTCTTCCATTGCACTGTCTATTACCCTTTATACCCAGTTGTTTTGTACCACTCATCTCATTGAGCCTATGCTGCAATTCCTCATGGCAATTCCTGCTCAGAATTGTGGGCTCCCTGAACATGGGGACTATATCTTAATCCCTAATACTTAGCACACTACTGAAATAAGCCAGGTACTCACTGTCTATTAAATGAATAAATTGATGAATTAAACATAAATACCCGAATGATAACAGAAGTCACCAATTCTTAACTCACTACTGTATAATTTACTGAAAAGTCCTTCAATCTGCCAGTCAACGCATAGAAGAGACACTGTGCTAAAACTAAATGTTTTATAAAAATAGATGGGAGAGTTATGTAAGGAAGTAGTTGCATTCCTATCAGTCACATATTCACTCACCACACTGGCAAGCTATTGATGCTTTAGTGATAGACATTGCAAAATGATAGAATCACCAGTAATCTATAAACTCAAGACATTAACAGACTCTGTTTGCTGCTCAGATATAAGCAGAGCATTATGGAGAGAAGATAATAATTAACTCATAAGGAGAGGGGCAAGTAAACATTCTATTAAAAGGAGAAAAATCCCAAATGAATATAATCTCCTTCCATTACATTATGAGCATTAAAATTAATGGTGTTGGTTTTTCTGTGGTTTGGATAGTCATTGTATTTAACAAGCTGAAGTTAACTTCATAGGGAAAAAAATAAATTAAATGTGCGGGTGTCTCAGGAAACTTCATTTTCTGAGTGAATAGCCAAGTTGATGCACATCACCAGAATGTCTGACAATCAGTTTTCCATACTGGTATGTTCTAAATAGGAAAAGAAACCAACTCTTCATTTAAATTATATTGCAAAACACTTCTTGCCTGCTGAATGGCATTCAGCTGCAGTAGGTGGCTTTCACTGTAGGGCCCCGACCACGACATTGGATGATTAATGCTAATTTGAAATGTTTTCTTTGAGGGGGGATGGGCACACTATCTTGGTTCATATAAGGCTGAGGAAATTTTATGGTGGGTGACTGACTCAAAGGCCAACAGCATATTTGCCATCAGATAAAAATGCACATTCACAAACATACCGAGACAAGTCAATTATTCCCCGATCCACCATTCCCTAGGTCCCTTTGTGTAAAGAAACCTACTTATACTCCCCATCAGATGGATATACAGAATCACAGTAAACAAGCCCTCGATTCCACTGTTCTATATTGTATTTCCCAGGGCACCTTCCATTGTGGAAGTCATTAGTTTTGGTCTCTTTGTTCCCAATTTATCAAAACAGACATTTTGCTAGTGACTTCAGTTTTACTCCTAGACACCTAACAGTTAGAAGACACAATTTTTGGCCAATTGAAAAAAGAAACAAAATGTGCTTTGCAATCTTTTGGTGAGGGCGATTAAGAATTTGTTCTTCTCTACCTTGATGACTAATTGATAGATAAATATAAAATCAGTGCTCAAAAGCTTATTCTTTCCCCCTTTCTTACTTTAATTGTTCAAAGAAACAAACCTATCCTTGTGTTTTATCGCCAATAGAATAGACTTAAATCAGATAGTGCACAAATGAGAAAATTAATCTGCATCAACATCTGAAAAAATATATAAATTAAATTAATATGTGCATCATATTTTACTTGTCAAATTAGTAATACTCTTTAAAAAGTAAATAATATTTAGTGTGGGCAGTGGTTCTGGGGACAGATTCTCCTACACTCACTCCTCTGTGGGTAGCCCTGTTCCTAGGTGCCCATTCACAGGGAGCATGCCCATTGCACATTGGTGTCATTGATGGCAAGGAGTGTGCGATGGAGAGTTGGCAGTGCCTGAGCTCAGAACGTCTGTCATGGAATCCTGCCTCTAGCACATTTTACTGTATTATCCTGGGTGAGTTTCCTTCCTTTCACGAGCTTGAGTTTCCTACTTTTCTAGGTTGTGGTGAGTATTTGAGGTAAACTAACTTGCAGCATAGTGCCTGTCGTAAAGTAGGCACTCTATAATCAAGAACTACTACTGCAGTGTCCTTGAAACCTGTTTCTGCGCTTTCAGTGTTTTCCCACTATGCTGGGCATGATCATCAGTGAGTACTTGAGCTGTCGCTTATCAGTATATCTAACAGGCTAATTTATATATGCATAAATATCCAGCGTGCCATAGGACCATATTTTCTGTTATGTATGTAGAAGTCAGTGTGTTCCAATAGCTGAAAGCTAATTTCCACACAGGTCTTGACCTTTAAAATCATTGAATATGCTGTTCAAGTGACAGGATTCTTTCCATACCTGACACTGATTTGCAAAACTAGATATCTAAAAGGCTAAAACATATTTTTTATGAACAAGACAACAGTGTAACAAGCCTGGGAATATGTCACTAAGCCTGACTACAGCAAAGTCTTGGTGACTATCAAAGGACCAGCCTTCTGCCCCGTATGATCCCAGAACAGCTCAGGATCTTTATGCAGGGGAGCTATGGACAGGCCTCTGAGAAGAGCCCAAAGGCCCGGTGAGTATGAGGCACTCTGCACATAGATTGGAGAATTGGTTCTTAGACTGGCTGTATATTGGAGTCCCCTGGGGAACTTTATATATTAATGAAGTGCTGGCTCCACCCCAACCTAGTGAATCACAGTCTATGTGGGTGAGCTTGCACACAGGAAATTTTCTACAAGCTCCTCAGATTCGCAGATGGTAGCACAAACTGGGGCGGGGGGGGGGGAGGGGGAAGAAATCACTGGAGTAGAGGAATGTTCTGATTGGCTGATGATCATTCAGAGCTGTGGGCTTTCTTCTCATAAGAAGGCTGAAAAGTGAAGAGGAAACACAGAATACAAGAAAGAAGAGATAGAAAGCAGGAAGAGTGGCAATGGAGCCCACGGTCGAGTGGGAGGAGCAAGTGGTGATTAAGACTGGGGTGAGGGGTGCTTCCTGAGAACTCTGGAGAATCTTAGAGGTTTGAGTGATTGGAGTTAGGGGACTGGAGCCATAGCAGATCTGTAGTGTGGAAACGAGAGTTTGGACAACAGCCACACACATGCACACCATCTCTCCAGTCTTTGAGGGGGTAATACCACATCTGGAGAATAAAGTGTGGATAATCAGGAACGTGCATGTGGATAAATTGAGAAAAGAGAGTCACTTCTGCCACTGGGTCTGTGACCCCAACTCTTCACCTCTAGCTAACCCATCTCTTTCATACCTCCATGCTGTCCCATTTTTTTTCTTTCTTCTCTTTTTTTGCTTTGCTTTTCTTTCTTTTCTTTTCTTTTTTTTTTTTTTCTTTTGGCTGGGTCTGCCTCTGTTGCCTAGGCTGAAGTGCAGTGGCACAATCTTGGCTCACTGTAGTCTTGAACTCCCAGGCCCAAACAATCCTCTTCCATCAGCCTCTCAAGTCACTGGGATCCCCGGCATGCACTACTATGCCTGGGTAATTTTCAAATTTTTGAAGAAACAAGGTATCCCTATGTTTCCCAGGCCAGTCCCAAACTCCTGGTCTCAAAGGATCTTCCCAAAGCTCTGGGATTACAGGCATGAGTCACCATGTCTTTCTATTTTCTGTTTTTTCACCTAAAAAATTATTTTCTCCATCACCATGCAAAGACCATCAAATATTACCCTGCGTAAAATCTTTCTTGATTTCTTCTGGCACAATGGACTGTATCTCTATTCAGTTAATGAGTATTTCTCTCTGAACACACTGTGCATTTTCATAGTCACAACTCATCACATTATATTAATCTGTGGCTTAAATATATGCCCTTGCCAAAGACTTCATGACTAAAACACCAAAAGCAATGGCAACAAAAGCCAAAATTGATAAATGGGATCTAATTAAACTAAAGAGCTTCTGCACAGTAAAAGAAACCATCATCAGAGTGAACAGGCAACCTACAGAATGGGAGAAAATTTTTGCAATCTACTCATCTGACAAAGGGCTAATATCCAGAATCTACAAAGAACTCAAATTTACAAGAAAAAGACAAACAACCCCACCAAAGAGTGGGTGAAGGATATGAACAGACACTTCTCAAAAGAAGACATTTATGCGGCCAACAAACATGAAAAAAAGCTCGTCATCACTGGTCATTAGATAAATGCAAATCAAACCACAATGAGATACCATCTCACGCCAGTTAGAATGGCAATCATTAATAGTCAGGAAACAACAGATGCTGGAGAGGATGTGGAGAAAATAGGAACGCTTTCACACTGTTGGTGGGAGTGTAAATTAGTTCAACCATTGTGGAAGAAAGTGTGGTGATTGCTCAAAGATCTAAAACTAGAATTACCATTTGACCCAGCAATCCCATTACTGGCTATATACCCAAAGGATTATAAATCATGCTACTATAAAGACACATGCACACGTATGTTTATTGTGGCACTATTCACAATAGCAAAGTCTTGGAACCAACCCAAATGCCCATCAATAATAGACTGGATAAAGAAAATGTGGCACCATGGAATACTATGAAGCCATAAAAAGGATGAGTTCATGTCCTTTGCAGGAACATGGATGAAGCTGGAGGCTATCATGCTCAACAAACACAGGAGCAGAAAACCAAACATCTCATGTTCTCACTCATAAGTGGGAGTTGAACAAAGAGAACACATGGACACAGGGAGGGGAACATCACACACCGGGGCCTGTCAGGGGGTGGGGTCTAGGGGAGGGATAGCATTAGGAGAAATATTTAATGTAGACGACGGGTTGATGGGTGCAGGAAACCACCATGGCACGTGTATACCTAGGTAACAAACGTGCACGTTCTGCACAAGTATCCCAGAACTTAAAATATAATAAAACAAAACAAAACAAAATACATATGCCCTTGCAACTGCATTCTCAATCCTTAGCGTTTTTCTATGTTATCTTTGATCTCTGCTGCAGCACCCAGCACACAGTATAAATTCGATATTTAAAAACAAAACCAGAGCCTATAGCACTATAGTAGACATCTATGAGGTTAGTCTGAATAGCATCCTTTTCGTAGTTTAGAGAATCGTCCCACCTAGCTCGTCCTATGGGATTCTGCAGGACCTATCAATCACAGCGACTTTGAGTAGCAACTTTCTACACTTGAGTCTTCTATCCAAACCTTCCCAGAAGGACCTCTTCATTCACTCACCCCATGGAATTAGGCACATCTGATAGCCTTTGCTTACAATCAGATGATAATGATAATAGCAATTAATGCTTTTTGAATACTTATGATGACCCAGGCACTGTTCTAAGTGCTTTTCATTTATGAACCCATTTAATCAGCACAACCCCATGACATAGGTCACTATTAATATTATTTTCAAGCAAGGAAACTGAAGCACAGAGAAGTTAATAACTTATCCAGGTTCACTCAGCTGGTAAATAGTGGACTTTGGCTTAAACTCAGGCAAGTTGTCTCTGAAGTCTGTTCTTTTTTACCTTATTCTACTCTCAAAGATTCTCACCTGATAGTCTCTTTGTGCTTCTTCAGCTATTTTTGTTTTCTTCTATTCTAACACGTACAATACATTGCAATAGACTGTTTACTTGCTAGTCTCTCATCACTAGACAGTGAATTCCTTGAGACTGAGACCCTGTCTGGTGTCTGTGAATCCCAGGAACCCTGGACAATTCCTGACAGACAGTAGATATAAATCATGTATTTCCAAACTGTTGAAACTGCAGAAACATTCATAGAACTTAGCAACTTTTCCAACCTTCTCTGGCAACAATTATTTTATGTCATTGGTTCTCCAACTTTAATTAGCATCAGAATCATCTAAATGGCTTGTTAAAACATGATTGCTGGGCCCCACCCCCCACCCCTAGAGTTTTTGCTTCAGTAAGCCTAGGGTGTCACCTGAAAAAGTGCATTTCTAGCAAGTTCCCAGGTGCTGCTGTGATGCTGTTCTGAGTGAATATTGCAGAGAGATTCACAAAGGTAAACACCCTGCTTTATTTAATCCTCACAGTCATCTTTCTCAAAAGATACTAAGGTGCTCAAGAGAATATTATATTTCAGGGGCAGATATGAATAGCTCTGGGACTAAAGGGGATTTTAACCTTTCCTGTTCAGGAGCCTGAAAGAAGCATATAATACATATCACAGTCATTTACTAACAACCCAGTCAGAGGCTGGCTTTATTTTCTAGGGGAGAAAATACAGAAATCATGTAAGTTAGCAAATGACATTTAGAGCATAAGCCAAAATCAAATGGTGTATTTTTTTGTTCTAGATACTCCAGAGGCAACTCAATCAATTGTCAGTGTACTGTGTACTTTTCACTGGAATTCTCTGTGCCTGGCCATCAGGATACAGTGAGGAGCCAGGCAGCCCTGGTCCCTGCCCTCAGGAAGCATACAGTCTATCAAGAAAGGCCAGCAAGAGACAAGTAAACATATAAGGAAATAAAATAATTAAGATCAGGAAATGCTGTAACAAGGAAATAAACTGCATGCTAAAGTACAGAATAATGGGGTGGCAGGGGTGTTGTAGCAAGTAGCTAGTCAGACATAAACAGGGCAGGAAAGGCTCCCGCCACCACCAGGAATGTCAGGCAACCATCAGGTGATGGTCAGGAGGTTGTTAACTGTCTCTCTGAAATAATAATTGGTTGCAGCCAGTGCCAGGGAAAGGCAGGCTCTCTATAGATAGGAAAAACCTGAAACTGGTGATCAATACCTTTGTGATAAGATCTCAGGAGTTGTTTGAGAGGGCTCACACCTGAGCACTAAGAGGCAAAATGGCAGCGTTTTAACTTGTATACAGCCTCCTAGGGACATCCGGCTGGGGAGGGAAGAACGCCTCAACTGAGCATGCATACAACTCAGTAAACACACTGTGCATGCTCTCCCAAGCACTAGCAGGCCACTGTGCATGTGGGCAGCCAACCCCAAGGGAAGAATCAGGGGAGAAGGGACACCTGTCCCCGGAAGTATGCCAACGTATAAGACCCCAGGTCGAAAGGTCAAACCCCACATATCTCCTTCAAGTTGCCCACTTGGGCCTCTTCCAAGTGTACTTTCCTTCCTTTTGTTCTTGCTCTAAAGCTTTTTAATAAACATTCACTCCTGCTCTACAGTTTGTCTCTGTCTCTTCTTCGGCTTTCTGTCCCTCAGTCAAATTCTTTCTTCTAAGGAGGCAAGAATTGACATTGCTGAGGACCTGCATGGATTTGCCACTGCTAACAGGGGGAGATATGGTATGTGCTCATTTTAGGTAGGGAAGTTGGTGGAGGCCTCTTTAAGGAAGTGACATCTTAAATTGATCCCACAAAGATGAGGAAATGCCAACCTCCTGAATCGCCAGGAGAGAATATTGCAGAAGGATTCACAAAGGTAAACACCTTGGCCTTAAAAGGAGCTTGGCATGCTTTAGAAACCTAAAGGAAGCCGATGTGCTTGACACATGGTGTGAGGTGAGCCTTGTACCTCACAGGGAAGAGTCTGGATTGGATTCTTAGTGCAATGGGAAAAAAAACTCGAAGGGTTTAAGCAGAAGTATCATATCTGATTTGCATTTGAAAAGATCACCCTGGCTGCCCTGTGGAGAAAGGTTTGTAAGGGGCAACAGCAAAAGGGAAAGGATCAGTCAGGAGTTAATTTTGCCATGCGCTGTGAAACATGAAACACGAAACACCCAAGGGTTTGTAGAGGGTGGGAGAGGGAAGAGGTTTATCAGCTGCACCAATTAAAACTTTACAGCCCATTCAAACTATCCACTCACATCACACAATTTAAAGACAACATACATAAATTGGTCTGAGCAAATTGTAGCAAATTGCTACAATGTAGACATACAGCTCCCCACAAAAGTTTGTGAAAGGCCTGCAGTGCTCACACCTGTATGGCTGTATATAATCCTGAAAGGGGAAAATTAAAATGCACAGTAGCCCTTTGAAAGCTAAAAAAAAAAAAAGTAGATAGTGAAGGACTGGTTTTCTTTCTTAAAAAATAAGTCCTTTTCAAGTTATAAATGATATTCAAGTCTAATGGGTAACTATGGGTAACAATGGCCAACACTTATGTAGCGCGTGTGTGCCAAACCCTGTTGTCCAAGGCTGTGATGCATATTTACTAATTTAATCCCCAGGTCAGACCTATGGGGGTAAACACTATGATTTCATTATCCTAATGTGATAGATGAAGAAGCTGAGAGGCTAAGTAATTTGCCCAAGGTCACACAGCTAGTTAATGTTGGAATTAAGGCTTGAAATCAGGCAGTCTGGCTACAGGGTTGTGGCCTTAACCATCACATTATTGCCTCTAGATATTCCAGAAACAACTAAATCAACCATTAGTGTATTGTGTACTTTTCACTGGGTTCTCTGTGCCAGGCACTCAGGATACAGTGAGGACCCAGACAGCCCTGGTCCCTGCCCTCAGGAAGCATACAGTGTAGCAAGAAAGGTTGACATATTCATAAAATAAGAAGTAATTACTCATTGAGAGGGAGACTCCCACATTTTAAACCTTTTTGTATTCCTAGAATAATTCCTGGCACAGTAATCTAGTTTGGACAATCAGCTAATACTAAATACAGAGCTTCACTGCCTGCCATTATGGAGTAAAGAATAGAATCAAAATCAGAGAAAGGTACTGAGTTCCAAAATAATATCCTCATACCAATGGTGTATGCAAACACAAATATGCATACTGCTGTTTTTAAAAATCTCTGCAGAATTTCAACAAAATGTTATATAACTTTACAGCCTGTGAAAGAGCTATCAAAACCCAGTTTTCCTAAAATAAAAGACTATTACAGAGGAAAGCATGCATGTGGCTCTACCAACTACTGACCCCAAAACCTGGTGAATGTGTGAATCAACCTAGCCCCAGGCTAGCAGAAGGGATGAGGCTTGATTCACTTTGGTATTGACAGAGCCAAGGAAAGTGCCTGGCACACAATATGTGGGCTAAAACTGGCTGAGTGGGATGGGCACTTGCCTTGATGCCCCTGTTTTACAACCTATAGGCTGTGTGACCCTAGTTATGTCACACAACCCTTCCGGGTCTCAGTTTCTTTATGTCAACCAAGGGTGATATTATCTATGCAGTATCACTATCGTGTACATCACAAGGGAGGGGAAGAAGGGAAAGTCCTATATCAGTGCTTAGCCTAGGGCATATACTCACTAAGTGTACTACTACTCTTATTACTATTATTATTACTGCTACTATTACTATTATTATATGCTTGTCAACTTGACAATGAACATTGAGGCCAAACAATTAGAAAAAAAAAAAGCTTGAATGTGAAGGCATGATTGTAGTCAGCTCTTTTATATAAATATTTTATAGGAAATATGTTCTTTGCCAGTTAACAAAAAACACTGGACCAAAATGGCTTGATAGAGAAATCTGAGACAGACTTCAGTGGAGTGGTAAGGGACCAGTCTCTGACCAAACCCCAGCTTCACCACCTCTTAGCTGTGTGATCCTGGGCAAGTTGCTTAACATCTCTGGGCTTAAGGTCTCTTATCTATAAGCTCTCCCATCTTTATGACGTGAGCATTAACGGTAACCTTCCTCATGGAATTGTTATGAGTATTAAATGAGATAGTATACATAAAGTATTTAGAAATATGCCCCTGAGCACTTAATGAGTGTCAGCCATTGTGATTATTATTTTATTGTTTCTACTGTGAGTGTGTTTGAGGCAAAATCAGAAAACTAATGAAAACTTGAAGCACTGGATTCATAGTTTGCATCTGCATGTGGCAAAAAAGAAGACCTACTCCAAAGAAAAGAGAGATGTCAACACTCTCATTATTATAGCATTCAGGCAATTCAAAGATGCTATCTGGCCATCCTAATAGCTACAGGCTGGCCGTTTAATGACTTACAAAAACAACAAGAAAAAGAAACCATGGTTTGATCCCTAAAAGTTACAGAACATGAAAGAGAAGGTCTGCATCTGTAAAAAAAGTATTGTTCTATTCCTCAAGGCAATTAGCGTAATCAGGATGGATAGAGCAGAGCACACCGGCAGATCCAGGAACTCCTTTCTATGTTCTATCAAAGGATAATATATATTTTCACCTTCAGAAAGGTTAGGTAATTATAAATGTATTCTCCTTACTCATAATATTTTAAGCAAGTAATTGTTGCCCATGGGAAAATGTTTAATTATTTCTGATGAACAGTTGTGGCACAGGAACAAGAGAACGAGACAGGCAGAGTGTGGAAACCATGGCCCAATTCTTAATTGTGTGGGAATCTTGTCTTTTCATTGTGGAAAAAAAAATCCCATATTGATTTTTCTCTCAATTGATTTCACAAAATTTTCAGTTTAGCAACACTGAGTCTTTCCAATTAGCACATCTTCTCAATTCCTTTGGTTGGAGGCAGCTTCATGCCTTCATGATGGAGACCTCATATATTTTAAGGTTGGGCTGGCCAGCTCGTGCCTTTTCCCTAATATTACAGCCTTAAAATTGTATTACTCTCATCCCCCAGGGCCAATATTTTTGAAGGGATAGGAAAATGGCAAGGAAACGCAGCTTGGGATGACACAAAGATGGATGGAAGAGTAGGCATTTCTCACTCCTTGTAGGGAATGCAGGAATGTTAGAGGAGGAGGAGCTTTGGACACCTTGTAGTAACAGTGCAACCACTTCATGTTACAGATGGGAAAGCTTAGACCCAGCTGGGGAAGTGGCTTGCCAGCAGCTACACAGCAAAACCGGGATTTAAACTGAGATAATGTGACTCCAAATCCAGTTTATCTGGGAAAGGAAAGAGAAGCATGTTGAACTGAAAGGAGCAGATGTTTCGGTCCCCATGAAGTTGACATGACAATCTGACAGCAGGTCCTGCAGGAAGGAATGGGTTCCAGGGAAACTGGTAGAAGAAAGGGGCTGAAGAAGTAACTGGCAGCAGATGACAGGCAAACCCCATAAAGACTCTCCCCTGCAGCTGGTCCCTACTGCCCCTCTACTTAGGGTGACATAGGGAGGCTGAGAGTACCTTTGGACTCTAACAAACCTGCCTTTTCCTAACAATGCAATGAAGTAGATATCACTATCCCATTTTACGTATTTAGGTAACTGAGACTCAGACAAGTTAAGGGGTTTCTGCCAGACAGAGGCTGACTGGGACTTTGACCTACCTCATTTTTGAGTCTACTACTACCAATGGCTGGGATTTTTCCATATTTCTTTACATTTGCAAAGTGATTTTATCTCTAAAATTAGTTGTGTATATCTTAAATTTTTAATTCACTTGTACTTGAGAAAGCTGCTGATAGACATGCATCATGCTAGTCAACATTTTTAGTTGAAATTTTTATTGAGATAATTACAAATCCACATGAAGTTGTAAGAAATACCATGTACACAACAGGCAACTTTTTGATGAAGATTTTATACCAAATACGGAAGACTTTGGACCAAGGGAACTTAATTAAAAAAATATCAGGGAACAAATATAGTGGTTAAGTCCACAGTCACCAAAGCTCTCTTGCCTGGGTTCCAACCCCAGCACACCGCTTCTCAGCTTATGATCCCTGTTGAGTTACTTGGTGTCTCTGCCCCCACTTGGTTTAAAAAAGGATAATCAGAGTCACCAGGCTAATAGGATTGTGGTGGGATTAAATGAATTAAGACTTTTAAAGTGCTAGGACATATAACCAGCTGATCTTTGATATCTCTGGCATGTATCTACATTGTGTGTGTGTGTATGTGTGCGTGTGTGCGTGCGTGTATGCGCGTGCACACATGCTTAAATCAGTAAACAAATTCAATCTTTTCCTCCATATTCCTTGCCATTTAGGGGTAAGGTGGGGGTAATGATGTGGTGTGGGTAGGGATCGGTTTGTTCCAGAGACTGGGAATAAGAATGCAGCTTTTTTTTTTTA
Source organism: Homo sapiens (assembly GCF_000001405.40). Classification (NCBI taxonomy): domain Eukaryota; kingdom Metazoa; phylum Chordata; class Mammalia; order Primates; family Hominidae; genus Homo; species Homo sapiens. The sequence continues at coordinate 57,899,032 of NC_000001.11, forward strand.
ACCTAAAGAACATTTACTTTATAATTTTAGTTCATCTGTATCATCGATAAATGGGTTTTTTCATATGTAGAAAATTCAACTTTTTCAAAACCAGATTCTCCTGCTTATGGGAGATATTCAAAAACACCAGCAGTTTCTTGCAAACGTGTGAGTTTTCTTTCTTTTTTTCTTTTGTGAAGTTTGAATAGAGAGCAGATGATTTTTAAAAATTTCCTCATGAAATAGAAGCTGTCTCATAATTTCATCTATGTGTAAAGCTTACAGTTCTAAACCAACAGGGATGGGAATTGCTTTGGATCCTGGAGGCAAAATGAAAAGTGTGTGATCTTATACCATTGTTAGATGTGGAAGCCCTCAGAAAATTCTCTCATTATGTCCTATTCAGGAACTCTGTCTCTAAAACCACAAAGAATGATTATACCCATTTTACACACTGGTAAATAATTAGGGCACACAGAATTTTAACAGAATAAAGGTCAAAGCAGTTGAAGATATCTTAGGTATCACTGGATTCAACTTGTTCCACCCCAACTCCTACACCCTACCCTGAGACCGCAAACATGCACGGACCATCACCTCTGCCACCACTCACGGAGAAAGTCAGACTCCATCAAACAACAAGGATTCCTTGTTTTCCACAAAGCTTCCCAAGGAGTGAATGGTAGAAAAAAAAAAAGTACTTTAGAAGCCTCGTGATACTTTCATTCACCTTTCTTTTAACCTTGCACAATGCACAGCATTTATGTCAAGATCCGGCTCTCGCATTGGACTAGAGGTACGTTTACCTCGGAATGCACCAGGCCCAGCACTGAGCTTATCTCTCAGTGGCTGCTCAGGAAACTCATGCTCAATGGAACTGAACACAAACCTCTTGTCTCCCTGCCAGAAGTCTTGTTTATCTTTTTCTTTTTTTTTTTTATTTTTTAGAGACAGGGTCTCACTTTGCCACTCAGGCTGGAGTACAGTGGGTGATCATAGTTAACTGCAGCCTCTGACTCCTAGGCTCAAGCTGTCCTCCCATTTCGGCCTCCCAAAGAGTTGAGATTCCAGGTATGAGCCAGGGTGCCCAGGCCAAAAGTCCTGTTTTTCAGGGGTGGTTTTATAAAAAGGGATGTTTTATAAAAAGGGACTAGGATTGAGGATAAACACTGCAAGTGCTATTGGTTACAGTCTCACGGCATTGCTATTAGGGGAAAATTGCAGGCACTGAGATAGTGGAATGGACAGTCTCCCATGGAGAGAGGTGTTCTTGGGGGTGAGCAAGATGGCACACACTGGGGGGTATTGGGTGGACCCAGGAGAGAGACCCTGTCCCCTGCTGCCTTCTTTATTTGAGAGAAAGCAGGAATTGCCTGACCACTTTGGGGAAATGAGCTTCGTTATTAGAGTCAGCCTAACGAGAATGAGGAATACCCTGTTCTAGGATGCCAGTCAGTCCCTGGGGAGTTTGCACGGCAGAGGCCTTGCAGCCCTGATGGCTGACTAGCTCAAGGCTAGGCTACCTGAGCAAGCGAGACTATAGGGGTCATTCTAAGGACACACTGGTTTCTCTTTCCTCAACTGGGGAAATATAAGTCAATCCATCCTTCACAAGTTTTTAGACCTTTGTCCATGTGGCCAACCAGGGTCAGCATTTATGTCTTTGACCCCACTATGTAGGGGAGCTTAGTAGTATTTCTGTTTATGATGGGTCCCCTTGATGATAATTACTTCCTTCAGGCCTTCTCTGACTTCCCAGCTCTGCCTGTTTCCTGCTTCTAAGAGAAGTCAGTACATCTCTATCCATTTGTAATTACTTGGTGAATGTTCTTTCTTGCTAGATTACTGATTCTATGGGGGCAGGGACTATATTTTCCAGTTCACTGCCATATTCCTCAAACCTAGCACAGAGCCTGGAACACAGCAGGTGCTTCATAAACACTCCTTGGATAAGTTTTTCTGGAAGAAAAATAATGTATGGTGCAAGAACACTTACAAAGTACTTTTACATATGTTAACTATGTCATTTAGTTCTCATGCTATCCATATAAAGGAAAAATTATTCTAATTTTTACCAAAGAGGAAAACAAAGGCTTACAGAAGGTAAGCTGTTCAGTAGCAAGCCTGAGAGTTGCAGCAAGTCTGTCCAGCTCTCCTGCTATGCTATTAAATGACCTTCCTTCTTGCTTTTTACATTCTCTTTATATTGGCCTAACCCCTAAAGATAAACTTAGAATCATGAGCGCCTTCCATTCCCCACACCTGCTGCGGGTTCCCAATTAATAACCGCAGAAAGCATTTGCTATTGTTCTGAGGAGCTGGGAAATCAATGTGTTCATTAGCGAGCTCCCCCTCCCTGCAATCAGCTAGGAAGACGAGGTGCTGGGGCCTGTTCTCCATATTTCTCTTCAACCATCTGTGACTAAAAATGTTCTTTGAAATTTACTCTTCTCCAACTCTCACAATTACAATTTCATCTCATCTCTACTTCTCCCACTACACTAATAATAGCCCCTCTCACTGCTACAAATAAATACCCCAGCACCCTAACCCACCCTGATGACCTGCTGCTGGCCTTTCTTTTCCCAGAGCCTCCCTAGCCAGCAGAAAAGGGGCCTAGATACAGGAGGTGGCTTTAAGTCTGATATTGTGTTTTAAAAGGAAAGCAGACTTTACTCCCCAGTGCTTCCCAGTCTGTCAGGCGCTGAATTCATGGCTTGTTAGTTCAGGCACTGCAAAGAGAAGGCAGATGATGTAAGGTTCAGACAGAGGCTGAATCTGAGCCTGCAGAACCCCAGCTCCACCATTCCTTCTCACAGCCAACCCCACTGCGAATCCCAAATGATGTGAGATTGGAGAATTCACTGTGTACTCTGAACTTGGTCTTATAGGATCAGCTACAAGAGCTAGTAAAACATTCTTTGTATTAAAAACAAACAAACAAACAAACACGCGGGCAACATGGCAAAACCCCATCTCTACAAAAAAAACAAAATTAGCTGGGCATGGTAGTGCACATCTGTGTGGTCCCAGCTATTTGGGAGGCTGGGGTGGGAGGATCACTTGAGTTCAGGAGGTGGAGGTTGCCGTGAGCCAAGATAACACCACTGGTCTCCAGCCTGATCGACGGAGTGAGATCTTGTCTCAAAAAAAAAAAAAAAAGAAAGAAACTATTGAAAAGTATTGAAAAGCTTTAATTATAGCACAAAGAACACTTGAGTACTTTTTACTAGATTCACCAAATGTTAACAATTGCCACGTGTCTTATCTTTTTCTCTATATACCTTTTCTATATATTTTTTTCTGAAACTACTGGAGAATAACTTGGCAATATCGTTATCTTGTTTACCCCCAAATTATTTTGCCTGTATCTTCTAAGAATAAGGGCATTTTTCTGGGTAACCACAATACTACGATCTCACTTGGTACATTAAAGAATTATTACCTAACATACAGTCCATATTCAGATGTCCCTAATTGTCTCAATAACGTCCTTTCAGCATCTCTTTCCCATTTAGGATCAAATCAAGGGCCATGTTTTGCATTTAATTGTCATTTCTTGTTAGCTTTTAATGTGAAGCTGGTCCTTGCATTTTTTCTCCAGGACACATACAGTTTTGAGTAGTCTAAGCCAGCCGTTTTACAGAATAATCCTCAATTTGAGTGACATGATTTCAGTTAGCTCCATCACTGAGGACATTAAATTTATCATCTGGTGTTCACCAGATTCCTTCATTGTAAAGGTACCTTTTCCCTGTGTAATCCATCAGTTTTCTGTGGAGTGCAATTTGAGACTGTATTTAAGACCATATGAATATCCTTTTCCCAAACAACTTTTAATACAATAATGTAAGCATCCGTATTAGTCCACTCTCACACTGCTAATAAAGACATACCCGAGACTGGGTCATTTATAAAGGAAAGAGGTTTAATGGACTCACCATTCCACATGGTTGGGGAGGCCTCACAATCATGGCGGAAGGCAAAGGAGAAGCAAAGGCCCATCTTCCATGTTGGCAGGCAGGAGAGAATGTGTGCAGAGGAACTCCCCTTTATAAAACCATCAGATCTCGTGAGACTTATTCACTATCATGAGAACAGCACAGGAAAGACCCACCCCCATGATTCAATTACCTCCCACCAGGTCCCTCCCATGACACGTGGGAATTATGGGAGCTACCATTCAAGATGAGATTTGGGTGGGGACACAGCCAAACCCTATCAGCATCGGTTGTTAATACTTACTCAATTCAGTTATTGTAACCATGGTTTCAACACAGTTTTCTAATTCTATCATTCCTCTAAGTTAGTTGGCTTCTATGATCTTCTAAAAAGAGCTTTCCCTCTCCCTTTTCAATTTTTAGTATCACTCTAGACATGTAGGTTCCTTTTTGTGTTATTCAGTGTGTTTTAATTCATTGCTTGCTGTCCTTATTCTTTTGGTTGAGTATTCATCAAATATTGGAGGAAAAAACTGGAGTCTTCTGTGCTCCCTTCCACCTTCTTTCTCCCCAACCTCAGTCACATGAGGCCTCACTTCTGGAGCCTTCCCATTTACCCTGCTGACCTTTATTCCCGATATTCCCAAGAAATGAAGTCACAAGGAGGAATCAGAAACTATATCCCAATTGCGTATTTCCATGCTTGTCTTCACACCAGAGGCTAAGCAACTTGAGGGATGATGTCACGTCTCCCTCACTACTGAGTCCCCAGCTCCCAGCAGGTTGTGGGTGCTCACTGGTTATTGTGGAATACAGCTCAGAAGGATGGTTTCAACCAAGCACAAAGCAGCAGCACAAAATCTTAGAAAATCTTTACCAGAGGACGGGGAGGAGAATTTATCTTTATGGTCTACTTAGAATGTGCCAGGCCTCTGATAAATTTAACCAAAAACCAGCCATATTAGCTTGGACTTTACATAAAATGCAAACAAATGTATCTGGTCTTGTTAAACCACTATTATGGGCCTGTCACATGTAGCTGAATTTACATTCAAATTCATACATCTTCCTTTGTACTTCATGCTCTGGCAATTATGGTTATTTCCAGTTCCCCAAATGTAAAACCCCACTGTTTCTCAAAGGAATCACCTGGAAGTCCACTTAAAATGCAGATTCTGATTTGGTGGATCACAGGCCTCAGCCTGAGATTCTGCATTCCTAACAAGTTCCTAGGTGAAGCTGATGCTGCTGGTATCAGGGACGTACCATGCTTTTAATAGCTGGGCACTGTGATGTTTCAGATCTGCATGCATTGGCAAATGATGTTTCCTTTGCCTCAAATCCTTGCCTCTCCTTGAGTGTCTGGAAAATTCCTATTTATTCTTCAAAATCTTGCTCGAGGGTCTTTCATTCACCAGCTGGTTTGTGAGCATCTACTACGTCCACTATTGTTTAAGGTCCTGGGATCTGTGACTGTACACAGTAAGTGAGGTCTGTATTCTCACGTATCAAAGCACAGAGAGACACACTATAGACTAAGCAAACAAACCAACAAGAAAACTGAAAATGGTAATAAATACCATGGAAAATAAAGAGGAAGAGTAATCAGCGCAAGGCTACCCCTTGAGGTACATGGTCAGAGGGGGCCTTTTGGAGCAGGAGATAATTGAACTGAGACCTAAAAAATAGGAAGAAACTAGTCCTATGAACAGCTGGAGTGAAGGCAGAGTATGCCAGGCAGAGGGAAGAACAAGGGCAGAGCCCCCAAAGGAAGCAAAGAGCTTGAAATGTCAAAGGATCTAAAATAAAGCCAGCGCAGCTTAAGGATGGTAAGTGATGGGGAGAAAGTTGTACGGATGGGAGGAGTCAAGGGCTAGGAAATGTAGAGCCTTTAGCCATCGTAATCTGTTAGAATTCCATTGTAACTGAAATGGGAACTCACTGGAGAATCTTAAGCACAAGAATGATAGAACTGAATTTATGTTTTTAAAAGATTATTCCAACTGCTCCATGAAAGGATGTATGGTAATTATAGCTAATGATAATAGCTAACATTTATTGATTGCACTTACTATATACTAGGCATTGCTGTAAGTGCTTAGGTATATTAACTTATTTATTGCTCACAATAACCATACAAAATAGGTACCATTATTATGTTCATTTTATGGATGAAGAAACTGAGGCAAAAAAACTTGCCCAAGTCACAAAACTAATAGGTGTTGAGGCTAAGATTTGAACCCACACAGTCTGGCTCTAGAGTCCTTGCATTAAACCCCTCTGCTCTGCTACAGAATAAAGCGTGAAAGTCTTCCTCCTTCCACGCTTTCTTCTGTAGCAGAGCAGAGGGCGTTGGTGCAAGGAAAGGGTATCACAGCAGTTGAGGTGAGGAAGGTTGCTGGTTTGGACTAGAGCAGTGCCTGCAGAGGGGAAAGAGGCAGACAGATTTGACAACCATTTGGAAATTGCAATGGAGTGAGCGGTTGAATGATAAGGAAGCATCAAGGATGGCTTCTAAATATTTGACTTCAAGTGGATTGGTGGTGTGTTAATGTGCCAAGATAGGGACAGGTAGGAGAGAAACATGTTAGCTGGAAAATCAAGAGCTATATTTCAGAACTGTACATTTCAAGATGGAGATAAGTAGGTATGAGTCTGAAGCTCAGGGAAGAAGTCTGGGCTAGAGATGTAAACTTTGGAGGCACCAGCATGTGTAGGGTATCCACCACCATGAAGTGAGTGTAGGTGGAGAAAAGTGGAAGATTCAGTATTAACACTGGGGCTCACTAACATACAGAGATTGAGAAGAAGAAGAGAAACCAGCAAAAGACATGAAAAGACAGTGGCTAGGGAGGTAGGAGGAAAACCTGGAGGCTGTGGTATTAGAGAGGTCAAAACAGGCAGAAATATGTAAAGGAGTAGGATGAATGCCCCTGTTCACTTTGGTGACAGGAATGCAGAGAATTCATTACATTTAGCCAAAGCTTGTAATAGAGTTTGTCATTGCCTGAATGACATTCTTCCTTCTTCCTCAGTAACAGCATCTCGACTGGGGCACAATACTACTTGAAATAGTGATCTCATTTATCAGTCTTTCTTAAAGCTAAGTATGTCCATGAAACCAGGTTCTCCCAATGGAAGTAGTGAGAAACTTCTGGAAAGGATTCTTAAAAAGCAGAAGCCCCTTTGCCATTCCTGCTTCCTGGAATGTGACTTGGATAGCTGGAACCCCAGCAGCCATTGTGTATGTAGAAAAGTTTGCTTAGCAATAAAGAGTATACGATAACCATAATGAACCAATACCTATATAGCATCAGGCACTGCTCTAAATGCCTCATATATTTTGAATTCTTTAATCCTCAAAACATCCCTATGAGATAAAAACTATTACCTTCATTGAACATGAGGAAAATAAAGCACTGGCAGGTGAAGTAACTTGCCTATGGTCCCACAGCTAGAACATGATAGAACCACTACACAAACCCAGACAATATGGCTTAGCTCTTAACCACTCTGCCATACTCTCTGAGATGAAGGTGTGTGGTCATGAGATACAATCAGGCCGCCCAGCTGTGGGCTTTTATCCCACAAAAGGCAGTTGCTATGGTGTCAGGCAGAGGGGCACAGTGAGGCTCCCCAGAATTGTGGTCTGGCCAGCCTAGCAGGATAGAAGGTGAAAGGGAAAGCTATTGAGGCCCATTATTACAGTAATTATATTGATGGACCATGGAATCTAAGTGAAGATGAGGGAAGAGGGTACCCGGGAGGAGAGAGAACCTTGTTATGTTAAGATTCCAGGTTCCTCTTCCCTAAACTTAGAGCCCTGAATAGAATGACTGCCTAAGTCCCTTCTCGTTCTAAAATTCTGCCCTTCTCTTGGTGCTCAATAAATATTTGTGGAATGGATAAATGAATAGATGTGTATGCACATAGGCAATACACATTTTCTTAGCAGACACACATATAAAAATAAGAATATAATATGCAGATAGATAGATAGATAGATAGATAGATAGATAGATAGATAGATAGATAGATTTGCTAAGCAAAGGAACATTGTAAGCAACAAAAGCACCTAGCTTCAGGGAACTGAATGTAAAAACACTTATACACATTAATAACATTGTTTTATAATTACGTCACATGCCAATTAAGCAAAAACACAACTGCTCCATATCATTAGTTATTCTGTGTCCAAATTATTGAGGACTTGTAATATATCTTAAAACATTTTATCAGGACATAAGCAGGGCTCTTGGTGCCCTCAGTACCACTACACCAAGCACTCAGGCACGGTGCACCTACAGAGGAGGCTGCACACAGCATAGGTATCTGGTGGCCATGATTCATTCACATCTTTCTCACATGCCAAAAAGGCGGGAGAGGGATGGTAAAGAGAGAACTGACCATGTGGTAACCAGAAAACATTAGGTCTCCTGACCTGACTGTAAAGATGCTCCAAGGTCTGTATGAAATTACACTGAAATTTACTAGCACACAAGCACCCAAGTGCCTGGTGTGTTACATATTTTAACCTAATTCATACTATGTAATAAGTGCTCCTACTTAAGAACAGTGATTATATACTAAGCAATGTATATGTATTAGCTGTCAACGACCCTATGAGATAGATGCTCTTTCTCGCCTCATAGTAGTGATGAGAAATCTGAAGCTAAGAGAAGTTAATCCCCTGCCCCAGGTTACAGCAATTAGTTGGCAGCATCAGTAGCAGTAGTCCAGTCTGTGTGAAGTCTGAGCCCTCTATCCTCCCCACCATCTTTTGGTATGTGGCTCACAGATTAAAGTCACGCGTTGCTTAACGATGGGGATACATGCTCTGAGAAATGCGTTGTAGGTGATTTTGTCATTGTGCAAACATCAGAGAGCATTACATAAACCTAGAAGGTATGTGTATATATATATATACACATACACATTAATAACATTGTTATATATATATAATATATATATACACACACACACACACACACACATATATATTTCACATGGAAACCAAATTACCCAGCACCATTACTAAATATAAGTCCTCTCCCCTACTTGATCTGCAATAATAACATCAAGTATCTATAGATGCTCTGTTATAATCTTATGGAACAACTGTCTTATATGCAATCCATCATTGCCTGAAACGTCATTGTGCAGGGCATGACTAAACTATTTTCTCCTTCTTTTAACAGAATTGCTCCCAAAAAACAGATTTATTGAAACTTCCCTCCTACCAGCCCAGGGCCCAGGTCCCCAGAAGTGTATCTTTGAGTCCCCTGCTCTGATGACTCTGGGAGACCTCCACCCTCCTGCCTTTGGCTATGATGCCTGATTGGAGTTACTCATCCTTGTGCCCATACATTAGCTAAACCCATTAACCTGACAGGACTCCACTGATGTCCTTTTCAACAAGCAGCCCAACAGCCGATTTAACCAATATAGATTTATTGCTTAACGCTAGAGAGAAGAGAGCCAGGGAGGGAGGAAATGAGGGAGAGCACTAGCAACCCCTCCTCCCGCATCCTGATGGGCAGCCAGCTATCCTCTCCTCCAGCAATTACTGACACTAATTAGTGGCTTACTGCAGATCTGAGTGAAGAGACTGACACAGGCACAATCCTGCCTACCATATTCCAAGCGCAGTCAGAGTCCTCAGGAAAGGCCCCTGTCAAGGGCCTGTCTAGGAAGAACTTGGCAGCTCAGAAACCAAGCAGATTGGAAGGGGTGGAGGGAAGATCTATAAAATGGCCTCATAACCAGGGTCTGTTCTGCTTCCTGCTCCCAGCTCCGGTCTGGCTGCTGCTTTTCTCAGCTGAGGCCCTGGGCTTCTGTGGTGAACAGCACTCAGCTGGCTGCAAATCATGGAGGCATATGGTTTAGATTCGTGAAGCCAAGTCATTAGCCCTCTGACCCAATTATAGGAATTATCACAAAGAACAAAGCAATTGGGATTCAGCCATGGTGCTGCTCTTCACTTTAAAGGAAGTGTCTTGGGAACCAGGTCTATTTTCCTTTAAAAAAAAATGCCTATTTTACGTGATACAGAGGCATTTCCAAACTTACAAGACATCATCGAAGAGAGTGCAGGAGGCTCCTTTAGGGTAGAGGGCAGATGTTTCTCAAAAAGCACAGGTATCTGGTGGCCATGATAGAATAGTACATAGCAACAGCAGCTAGAATAGTACAAAACAAGTGTTGCTTGTTAAGGGTTGTGGGTTCTAGTCTTGGTTCAGGCTCCAGTGTGTTGTATGAACATGGGTGAGTCACATTTCCACTCTGAGACTCAGTGGCCTTCTTCATAAAGCGAGGAATCATTTTAATGATCTTTAAGGTTTCTCCTAGCATGCCCATTCCCAACTGATCATGCCCCAGAGTTATATCATCCTTTATGGTGAAAAACTTAGTGAAATAAGCTCATAAAATAATATTACTTTCTAAAATAAGCTATAATTTTATAGCAGATTTCTGTGCGAGAGAGTCATGAATGTGTTTTCTTTGTTTTATTTTTAATGAAATTGAACTTAGAAAAAGACCTGACACCCCTGAACTTAAAAAGTGAACAGAATCAACTATACGACTTTGTATCATCTAGTTAGAGAAACAATTTTTAATAAAGAAAGAAACTATGAAATGTGATTGCCCATTACAGCTATCTACTGGGTAATAAGTGTTGCTGATTCTGTGCCATTTAGCAAAAAATACTGCAAAGAAAAAAAATATTGCAGGTTTAGTATCTTAATTATGTAGATTTTACTTTCAATGAACTCCTGCCAAAATAAATTGCGTATATTATCTAAAAAGCAAATGTTAATTAAAACTGTATCTTGATAGCATGCTTGGTTCACAAGACATTCTGAGCATATGAGATTATATGGCACACATAAGCTACAATCAACTCAGACTGAAGGTCCGGGTCATTTCAGTGATTCATGTTAAGCCGGACAGTGCTGACTGGTACTGGCGTCTGACAGCAGCACCTCACATATTTATATAGAAGATGCAGCTTGATCCCAACTTATTTTTTCCAGATGAGTGAAGTGTCTCTGCCTGCTACAGAGTCTCATAAATAGGACAGCTGACTTGAGTTCCCATTAATTAACTGTTTAACACAAAGCGACCCAGCGATCATTCATCAGAGCTACAAAAATAAAATCCCCAGCAAGGAAATGAAATTGGGGTACAGGCACAGAGGACCAGAGGCCACCGTATTCATCACTTGTCTGTTTCCTTCTGCTCCCCTGGGCTTGGATGTCCCCAAGATCAGACCATCATCCATACACCCCTGATAGGTGGGTAATTGCATTCTTGAGCCACAGCATCTGGTCCTTTTTGAACATCTTTACTGCTGAGCAGTGTATACAAAGAACAAGATCCAAATACTGCAGAATTGATTCTTCCACCCTCTCCAAGAGGCATGGCTCCAAAGCTAGTTTAATTATAGGTGTTTAGACGTACTGCGATGAATACCTTGGGAACAGCCGTTCCACAGCACCGCTCTGGCAAGCACATACTTTCTTTTCTATTTTTTTTTCCACTTTCTATTTTAACAAACAGTCAACTGTGTGCTGCATGTAAGTGATCTGTAATCAACGGAACACTAAAATGCCAAGTGTTAGGGAAAGGTCAGGGGGAAGTTTTTAGACAGGAGCCTGGAGCCACGTCGTGGCCTGGAATCACAAGGCTGTCATTTCCACTGGACTTCCAGGGTCAGCTCATTTCCAAGCTATTACCAATATACCCTAATAGATGCTCGTGTATGTTCAACTAAGCCACTTCCCACCTGCCTCTAAGAATCTCTCAAGAATGGCCTTTAAATGTTGGCCTGCATTATCGATGTTTCCAGAGGTGTAGCAGGAATGAAGGCCAACAGACCAGGGTTTGGATCTCCTCATTACTTAGGAGGTGTGTGATGGTGTGTAAGTCACTTCAACCCTTTCAGCTACTGTCTCATCGTCAAACAGGAATGATACTGCCTACCTACAGGGGCAGATGTGAGGCTTAAATGAAAGAAGGAATGTAGAACAGTACCAGATACTTAGAAATATGTAGGAGCAGCTATGATTCATTCAGTCATCATTCATCCACCTGTCATCCATCCATACAACAGACATTTTGTGTTGACTTTGATAATTCAGAGTTAGGTTTATGCACAAAGACATTTAGGGAAAAAAAGGATTTTATGAAGAAAAGTGGAGCCATGGAATGGATAACCACTGAGCAGGTCTAATGCCCCCAGGTGCAGTGCAAAAGCAGGAGAGGACAGGAGACAGGTATAAGGATGTCTCCTTTCTCTGTGTGCTGGCCATCTGCCTGTTTATTCTCAGGTCCCATTTCTGCCTGTCTCTGCCTGGGACACCAAAATCTGCATTTCCCATATTCTCTTGCATGGTGGCTTTTGCTTAGGCTTTGTTGACAGGGAGATCTGGGAAGGCAAAAGGAAGGGATTTCCTGTTTTCAGGTCCCATATTTCTTCACAGTGTCCTTCCAGCAGCAGAGGACAGCTAGACCTCCAGCATCATTTGGCAGTTTCCCCCTCTTTGTTGATCTCAGGCCTCTTCCTTGATCCCAGGCCCAGAGCTTACCAGCCACTCCCAATCTCAGCATCAGCCAAGTGGCACCCCATCGGACCTCAGCTTCAGTCATACAGAGTCCACTCAGCATTCTCATCACCAGCCACCAGTACTCCTCAGACGTCATGGCTCATGGCCCAGCACCCTGGAGGTCACAGCACAAGCCGTGCAGTGCCTGTTCTCTGACTCCAACATCAGCCTTCATAGTCCCTTCTCGCTGATTCCAGCATGGGCTGGTAAGCATCCACAGCCCCTCAGTAGTGCAGCTTAGCAAAGAGGGACTGGTGGGCTCTAGATACACTATAGCTTTCCTTATTCCCTCAGCACTAGGTAGGGAGCTTCCTGCACTTACTAATCTCTGCTTCACTTCACCCTTCCCATTTGCTCTTTCAACCCATCAAACTATTTTATAACTAATCCCCTGTATTAAACCCCCTCCATGTGAAATACCAAATGTGGTTTGTCTTTTCCCAACTGGACCCTGACTGATATACGTCCAGCGCACTAAAGCCTGAGGGGGAGGGGAGATTAAGAAGGTTGTTTTAAAAGTTAATACCCTTTAATCCAATAATTCCACTTCTGCAAATCTTAAAAGTGATGTCTGCTAACTCCTATTCTTCCTTCAAGCTTCACCTGTATGTCACGTACTCACAGAGGCTTTCTGAATCTAAATTATTTGTCTCCCCCATAGCAGTCTGAAACTTTCCTTCACAGCATTCACAACCATTTGCAGCAATCTAATTTCGTGGGTCTGTCTTTATCTCCATTAAGCAAAAGCAGGAACTGGGTCTGTCTTGCCACTGATCTTTCCAACACCTGGAAAAAAAGGCTTACCTTACGCAGGTGCTCAAAAATGTCTGTTGAGCCCTTCATGCTAAAAACTCTCAATAAATTAGGTATTGATGGGATGCATCTCAAAATAATAAGAGCTATCTATGACAAACACACAGCCAATATCATACTGAATGGGCAAAAATTGGAAGCATTCCCTTTGAAAACTGGCACAAGACAGGGATGCCCTCTCTCACCACTCCTATTCAACATAGTGTTGGAAGTTCTGGCCAGGGCAATCAGGCAGGAGAAGGAAATAAAGGGTATTCAACTAGGAAAAGAGGAAGTCAAATTGTCCCTGTTTGCAGATGACATGATTGTATATCTAGAAAGCCCCATCGTCTCGGCCCAAAATCTCCTTAAGCTGATAAGCAACTTCAGCAAAGTCTCAGGATACAAAATCAATGTGCAAAAATCACAAGTATTCTTATACACCAATAACAGACAAACAGAGAGCCAACTCATGAGTGAACTCCCATTCACAATTGCTTCAAAGAGACTAAAATACCTAGGAATCCAACTTACAAGGGATGTGAAGGACCTCTTCAAGGAGAACTACAAACCACTGCTCAACGAAATAAAAGAGGATACAAACAAATGGAAGAACATTCCATGCTCATGGGTAGGAAGAATCAATATCGTGAAAATGGCCATACTGTGCAAGGTAATTTATAGATTCAATGCCATTCCCATCAAGCTACCAATGACTTTCTTCACAGAATTGGAAAAAACTACTTTAAAGTTCATATGGAACCAAAAAAGAGCCCGCATTGCCAAATCAATCCTAAGCCAAAAGCACAAAGCTGGAGGCATCATGCTACCTGACTTCAAACTATACTACAAGGCTACTGTAACCAAAACAGCATGGTACTGGTACCAAAACACAGATATAGACCAATGGAACAGAACAGAGCCCTCAGAAATAATGCCACACATCTACAACTATCTGATCTTTGACAACCCTGACAAAAACAAGAAATGGGGAAAGGATTCCCTATTTAATAAATGGTGCTGGGAAAATTGGCTAGCCATATGTAGAAAGCTGCAACTGGATCCCTTCCTTACACCTTTTACAAAAATTAATTCAAGATGGATTAAAGACTTAAATGTTAGACCTAAAACCATAAAAACCCTAGAAGGAAACATAGGCAATACCATTCAGGACATAGGCATGGGCAAGGACTTCATGTCTAAAACACCAAAAGCAATGGCAACAAAAGCCAAAATTGACAAAGGAGATCTAACTAAACTAAAGAGCTTCTGCACAGCAAAAGAAACTACCATCAGAGTGAACAGGCAACCTACAGAATGGGAGAAAATTTTTGCAATCTACTCATCTGACAAAGGGCTAATGTCCAGAATCTACAAAGAACTCAAACAAATTTACAAGAAAAAAACAAACAACCCCATCAACAAGCGGGTGAAGGATATGAACAGACACTTCTCAAAAGAAGACATTTATGCAGTCAAAAGACACATGAAAAAATGCTCATCATCACTGGCCATCAGAGAAATGCAAATCAAAACCACATTGAGATACCATCTCATGCCAGTTAGAATGGCAATCATTAAAAAGTCAGGAAACAACAGGTGCTGGAGAGGATGTGGAGAAATAGGAACACTTTTACACTGTCGGTGGGACTGTAAACCAGTTCAACCACTGTGGAAGTCAGTGTGGTGATTCCTCAGGGATGTAGAACTAGAAATACCATTTGACCCAGCCATCCCATTACTGGGTATATTCCCAAAGGATTATAAATCATGCTGCTACAAAGACACATGCACACGTATGTTTATTGCGGCACTATTCACAATAGCAAAGACTTGGAACCAACCCAAATGTCCAACAATGATAGACTGGATTAAGAAAATGTGGCACATATACACATGGAATACTATGCAGCCATAAAAAATGATGAGTTCATGTCCATTGTAGGGACATGGATGAAGCTGGAAACCATTATTCTCAGCAAACTACCACAAGGACAAAAAACCAAACACCCCATGTTCTCATGAGGTGAACATTTGGACACAGGAAGGGGAATATCACACACCAGGGCCTGTCATGGGATGGGCGGGGGGAGGGATAGCATTAGGAGATATACCTAATGTAAATGACGAGTTAATGGGTGCAGCACACCAACATGGCACATGTATACATATGTAACAAACCTGCACGTTGTGCACATGTACCCTAATACTTAAAGTATAATAACAACAAAAAAAAGAATCCTATGCCTGCAAGAGATAGATTAAAAGTTATTAATGACTCTCTTAAAAAAAAGTCTGTTGAATGAATGAACAGATGAATAACTGAAAATGTTCATTGTAGCATTGTTTATACTTAATGAATGACTGTAAACAACCTATATATCTTGTATAACAGAAATGGGTGAATTTGTAAAAAATCCACTCAATGGATCATATAAACATTATATTGAGCCTGACATAAATGATTCCCAAAGTATGGTCTATGAACTGCATGCCTCAAAATTGCCAAAAAGCAGAGTCTCAGGCACCACCCCAGAATTTTCATAAGTTCTTAAGGTGATTTTAGCACCCTAACTCTTAGGAATCCCTGGTCTAGTATGAAAATTGCAGAAATTTGCAGTAATTTGAAAAATGTATCTTACTATGCTAGCTGGACAAAACAAAAATAAAACCAATCAACCAAATAAGCCGAAGCGAGGGCAATTATAGAACTAAATGAGACAAATAGATAAGTAGATATGTAGGAAGGTAAAGAGACAAACAATGATTCTTTAAATCATAAAAAAAAAAAAAAAAGAACTGGAAGGAAATACCCGGAAGGAAAAAAAGAACTGGAAAGAAATGTGTTTCTTTGGAGAATGGAATGGCAAAACTATTACTTTGTTTCTCTCTTTCTGATTTTTCATATTTTCTGAATTTCTGATAATAAGCATGTATTTTATAATGAAAAATACCAAACAAAATTATCTTTAGAAATATATAGAGAGATATTTCTCAGATCACCTAGGCCAGTTGAAAACCCCTGGTCAGAATCTCCAACCTCTCCTGTCCTGGGTTCCTTGGGCTATTCCTCCATCATTACTTGTCTCCCGTGGGACATGGGATGTGATCATTTCCTTAAATCTTACTCCAGCTGCACTAAAATCAGAGTTTGGCAGCTGGTAAGCCATTGAAATTTCATACTTAAGACATCAAAGCTGGCAGCCTTGCTTTCAATTCCCCCCCAGCTCATCTTCTTAGGAGAAACATTTCTCGAAAGCACTTGATCCCTTGAAGTTATTGGGCACCACATTTAGAAAAAGCCCCACTCAGGATAGACAGGCAAAGTCAGAGAGAGCTCATGCACAGTATATGAAAAGCTTGGATATGTGTGTGACGTAGACGGGGAAAGGGGCCCAAACAGCCCATCAGCTCGGAGCCCCTTCAGTCCAATTCCCAATAGACTGTGCAAATGTCAAGGGAGAAAGAGGGACGATCACAGTATGGAAAAAGTTCATCTTGGGAAGAGCTCTCTTTGCAGCCAAGCCTGCCATCAACCAGAAACAGCATGATGGTACTCTGTTAGGTCATCTCCAAGGAGAAGAATTTTAGGTGAGCGCTTCAATGTCCCTAAAATAGGGCCCAACTCCACTTCGTTGTTGGTTGGCATTGCTGCTTCCAGCCTGCTGCCAGTTCTTGAACTGGACTCTTTGTGCCAAGACCCCGGGTCTTCTTCCTCTTTACCAAGGTGCTTCATAAAGACAGTCACTCTCCCTGGCGGGTGAAAGAAAATGATCCCTATTTCCTGTAAAGTAATAGGCAAAAGTCCTCCCTGACAGTGAAATCTGGGCTGTAACACAGCCAAACCACCACCTCAGAGCAGGCGATTCGACAGGCACTGACAGCTCCTGTGCAGTCAGCAGTGGCCAGCCCTCCTCTCTCCCAGACAATGAAATTACCATAAAGAACTTGTCAGCCATGCCTTCACTGGTCTCTTGATTCCAGTTTTCCTATGACTTGAATCCATTCGAACATAGGCAAACCTTCCCAAAACTCCGATTTCTTCATGTTCAAAAACCAAGAGCAACAGAATCAAGGATAAGTTTATAGCTTGACATTTCAATCTTTCCAAATTCTAGCTCCAACAGTATTTCTAAATGTGTATTAAGAACAGCCAACATGGTTGGAGTGCTCACTACATACTAGGCACTATTCTTAGAGCTTTATAAAAATTAGTTGAGTTCTCAAAATAACCCTATGAGAAAACAATTAGTCCCATTTTACAGTTGAGGAAACTGAGGCATGGATAGGTTAAAAGGGTTAAGTAGGCCAGGCGTGGTGGCTCACGCCTGTAATCCCAACACTTTGGGAGGCCAAGGCGAGTGGATCACCTGAGGTCAGGAGTTCAAGACCAGCCTGGCCAAAATGGTGAAACCCCTTCTCTACTAATAATACAAAAGAAAAATTAGCCAGGCATGGTCACGCACGCCTGTAATCCCAGCTACTCAGGAGACTGAGGTGGGAGAACTGCTTGAACCTGGGAGGCGGAGATTGCAGTGAGCCAAGATCGCGCCACTGCACTCCAGCCTGGGTGTCAAGAGCGAAACTCTGTCTCAAAAAAAAAAAAAAGTTTTAATGAATCATCTAAAGTTATGCAGAAGGTAAATGGGACAAACAGAATTGGAACTCAGGCTGTGTGACTCCACAGTTCCCATGTGAACATTTCTAACCACTATGTTCTCCTGCCTCCTAGTTGTACCTAGAAGGAATGGCCCCTGTCAGCGGGGCCACTCTCTACACTTTCTCCTAAATGTGCCTGCCTTACTCCTGACTTTTCTCTCCCATGTTCCCCTCCCCTCCCCATGAGTAAGCATGTCCTCTAGGTCCACTGCCAGATATAAGGGCCTAGGGCATTTGCCATGGTCCTTAATCCTTCTCTGCAGTGTAGGGAGGTCTTGGCTTGAGGTGTTCCTAAAGGATCCCAGACAGCCCTGGTGTCAGCCGACTGTACTTTAAGGATGTGGGCTTGGAGTCTAATGAATCTTGAAAAAGGAAGGCTCATTTAGGTTCCTCACCTGTAAAGTAGGGAGAATAATCCTGCCCCATATCATTGTAATGAAGGTTAGTGAGAGAACCATGCAAAGGGCTTTGAAAACTTCCAGAATCATATCTTCCTTTGAACTCGAACAGTATGTTGTACTAATATTTCTTCTGCCTTTACTGTAGCCATTGGCATTCTTGTTTTCCCCATTTTCCCCCTTAGAGAGACATGTACCTTGACAGGTGGATTATTTGTGTGTAGTTTCTTTTATGAAGAGCAGGGCTTGAGTGCTCTAAAATCATCTATCCATATACTTCCAGGAATCCATTTGCTGTTGTCCTTAAAGTCTTTAAAGTAAAATGCTAAGTCAGGAGTTAACTGTAAAGAGCCCACCCTCTTCTTTCCCTTTTTAACTCCTTCGCCCCCTCTTCAGCACTCCCCATGCTCACATTGATGCTACTTCATTTTTGAGACACCAGTAAATAGACAGTCTCCCATCTACCTCTTGTCCTGTAATAATGAGGTATCATTTTCTAAAAATGTGATTTCCTAGCCAGGCATGGTGGTGGGAGCCTGTAATCCCAGCTACATGGGAGGCTGAGGCAGAAGAATCCTTTGAACCCAGGAGGCAGAGGTTGCAGTGAGCTGAGATTGCACCACTGCACTCCAGCCGGGGTGACAGAGTGAGACTCCGTCTCAATAAATAAATAAATAAATAAATAAATAAATAAATAAATATAAAAATATGATTTACACTTTAAATGAGTGAACTGTATACTATGTAAAAATATCTCAATAAAGCCCTTAAAACAAACAAAAAAAAGAAGCCATAGACAATGTATAAGCAAATAGGCATGGCTGTAATCCAATAAAACTTTTCTTACTGTCTTAGTCCATTTTGTTTTGCTGTAACAGAAAATCTGAGACTGGGTATTTTGTAAAGAGGTTTATTTAGCTCATGGTTCTTCAGGCTAAAAAGTTCAAGGGCCTGGTGCAGCTTCTTGCAAGGGCTCTCATCCTGTGTCATAACATGGCAAAATGGAAGTGGACACTTCCAAGGAGAAAATACCCGAGGGGTGTCCTGCCTTTGTAACAACCCACTCTCATAGGAACTAATCCAGTCGTGCCATAGTGAGATCTCACTCACTACCATGAGAAAGGCACTAAGACCTAAGCCAGGCGCGGTGGCTCACACCTGTAATCCCAGCACTTTGGGAGGCCGGGGCGGGCAGATCACAAAGTCAGGAGATACAGACCATCCTGGCTAACACAGTGAAACCCCGTCTCTACTAAAAATACAAAAAATTAGCCGGGCATGGTGGCGGGCACCTGTAGTCCCAGCTACTTGGCAGACTGAGGCAGGAGAATGGTGTGAACCCAGGAGGCAGAGCTTGCGGTGAGCAGAGATCATGCGACTGCACTCCAGCCTGGTCGACAGAGCGAGACTCCGTCTCAAAAAAAAAAAGAGAAAGGCACCAGGACACACAAGAGGATCTGCCCCTGTGACACAAAGACCTCCACTAGGCCCCACTTCCCAATACCACCACATTGGAGGTCACATTTCAACGTGAGTTTTTGTCAGGACAAACTATAGCCAAATCATAGCATTTACCAAAAAAAATTGGGTTTCATACTTCCTGCTATCCTCATAAGGGTAGGTGGTGCAATATATTTGCAATAACCCAGGCTTTGGAGTAAGAGAGACCTCAATTTGAATCCTGGGTCCTCCCATTCACTATGTGTCCCTGGAATATGCCCCCTTACTCTCCATTTCCTCCACCTGGAAATTGTGGTAAAACCACAATTTGGGTTGTGAGGAGGGTTGGGAGGGTTAAGGAGAAGACAGTCATAATACACCTAACACAGATAGACACTCAAAAACTGGCAGTTCCTTTTTTATCCCAGCACTGTGGCTTAGGCCCTGTATTAATAGCTGGGGATGTAGAGATAAAGAAGCCACCATCCCTATCCTCAAGGAACTCCACAGTTTACTGGAGCATGTAGACATGTAAGTTTCTATATATACATGTACAGGATCATAGGACAGATAAACAGGTGCTTGTGAAACATGTGAAAGGCATTCCAAACACACCCTGGGGTCAGAGGCAGTCAGGGATGACTTTCCAGAGTCCAGAAGTAAAGCTTGAGCTAAGCCTTGGAAGAAGAAAGGGCATAGACTCTAGGTCAGACCACCTGGGTTCCTATCCTTGCTCTGCCCTATACATATTTTTGTGACCCTAAGGGACAAAGAATCTTTTTGAGCTCTATGGAACTGTCTTCATTTGAAAAAGGAAGTGATAAACAATGTATAACCGGCAGGATTGTTGTGAAGTTTACAGGAGATAATAAACAAAGATATTGTGATAGCTAAGCTTAGGGTGAGTTTATGGACAAAGCTAGGTGTTAGATGA
Organism: Homo sapiens; assembly: GCF_000001405.40. Classification (NCBI taxonomy): domain Eukaryota; kingdom Metazoa; phylum Chordata; class Mammalia; order Primates; family Hominidae; genus Homo; species Homo sapiens. The sequence goes on from NC_000001.11 coordinate 57,919,781, forward strand.
GGGGGAGCCTTATTCAATATAAAATAATATAACCTGTGAATCTCAACATTATGTGCATGGATTTTACAAAGTAGTTCTGCATGTGTGCACGTGTGTGTACTTGGATTTATATTGAAAACAAATCCTCTTAAGGAAACTATTCCAAATAAAGGCCTAGGGGAGGTCAGGTGGACCCAGCCATCTTCTTCCCCAGCCTAATCTGGATTTATAGAGTTTATTTTTCCTAAATTGCTCTAAGTGCTTCAGGTGTACTATCTGATTTACCTTTATGACATTCCAATGTAGTTAGAGGCAGGCAGTATTATTTTCATTTTATTGATGTGGCTATTAAGGCAGAGAGGTGAGCTAGCTTAAGTTTGTAGAATTGTAAGTCAGAAAGGGACTTTGAAGGTCATTTAGTCTGACCCCCACTCTGGAGCTACAAAGCCCTAAACAGCATTCTTTCCAAGGCCTTATTCAGTTGATGTTTGAGTACCTCCAGGAACAGGGAGCCTGCTCTGTAAGAGAGACAGCATCTAAGTGTGGGCTTGGAAAAGCTCCCCCTTTTTTTGAAACAGGGCCTCACTCTGTTGCCCAGGCTGGAGTGCAGTGGTGTGAACATGGCTCACTGCAGCCTGGACCTTCTGGGTCCAAACAAACCTCCTGTCTCAGCCTCCCAAGTAGCTGGTGAGTACAGGTGTGCACCACCACACCTGACTAATGTTTTAATTTTCTTTTTTTTGAAACAGGGTCTTGCCATGTTGCCCAGGCTAGTCTTGGACTCCTGGGTTCAAGCAGTCCTCAAGCAGTCCGACGTGGAGTCAGGCTTTGTCATCTCGGAGACTTAGGTTCAAATCCCAGATCCACTACTTAGCAGCTAGACAAATTATTAATCTCTCCAAGGCTCCACATCCTCATGTACAAAATACCTACTTCCTAGAGCTGTTTTGGAGACTAAATAAAATAATAGATAGCAAGGCATTTTGGTATTTATAAAGTACTGCATATGTATAAGGCATCATTAGTATCACTGTTATCATAAAGGCTTTCTCCCTGACAGGTACCACTTTGGATTGTTGCTGGGACTATAAATTGGCACAACCCTTTTGATGCACACAGGGGCCCTATCTACCAACAATTTAAATATACCCATCCCTTCTGAGCCACAAATTCTACTTCTAGGTATTTATTCTACAGATCTACTTCCACGTGTGTATAATACATATGTTCAAAGATATTTTCATTACCACATCATTAGTAATTTAAGAATACTGGAAACGACCTTAATGATGTTCATTGGGAATTAATTAAATACATCATAATATGGTGATAAAATGGAATATATTGTTACATTGTTAGGAAAATGAAGTATTTCTATATGTACTGGTATAGTCTGATCTTTAAGATATATTATTTAGTGGAAAAAGTAAGCTGCAGTAGAGGGCATACACTCTGGAGCACTGTATTAAAAAAGTGAATATAATATGTAAACCCATGCACGTGTATATTCTCAGACTGTGGCTGGAAAAATATGGAAGAGATTGGAATAGTATTTGCCACTTGGGAAGGAAATCAGTCAAGTAACTTTTTACTGTAAGCATTTTTATATTATTTTAATTGTTTTTACCAGGAGGATGTGTTCCTTTTATAGCCACAGAAATATAAGCATCATAAAGATGTTGACTCCCTAACTAGACATTAAGTTCCAGGGGAGCAGAAACACATCCCTCTCCTTGTCTCAGTAAGTGGCAGCCCAGGCCACAAGGCCAATCCTCAGAGCTGTCTTCACCTCCTCTTTCTCTCTGCATAGTAACCAACAGATCCTGTCTGCTGTACTTTTGACATAGATCCAGAATCAGATCACTTCTTGCCACCTCTGCCGCCACCATCCTGAGCTGAACCACTGTCATCTCTCAGGGGAATCTCTCTACCAGACTTCCCACTGGTCTCTTCCCCACCGAGAAAGCAGCCCAACCAAACTTTTTAAAAACCTGTCAAAGCAGGAAATCCTCTGCTTAAAATTGCCCAGTAGCTTTTTATCTAACGCAGTAACAAAACAAAATTCCCACCATGGCCTCTAAGGACCCCAATGGCTGTGGCCACAGCCATCCCCTTGAACCCATCTCCTAACTTCTCCCTTCTTGATCTTTCTGCTCCAGCTACACCGGCCCCCTCCGTGGTGTTTCTTGAGCTAACCCTCACCTTCGTATTCACTCTTTCCTCAGCCTGAAAGGAACTTCCCATATAAAATCATTTGGCTGGCTCTCACTTCCTTAAATATCACCCTATCCTTTTCCTCCTCACCTTTACAAAATAGCACCCCATTTCTCTTTATTCCCTCATCTTGCCTCATTCTTCTAAATGGTAATATTCCCCTCCTGACAATGTTGGTTCATCTGTGTCATTTTATCTCCCATCATTAGAAAGCAAACCACAATGAGTTCTTCAAAGTTGTGGGCTCAGTTTCAATTATGAGTCTCTGCAGCAGCCAGTACAGGCCTGCCATTAAGTAGGTAGAAAAGGAGGGGAAGAAAAATGAAGGGAGGGAAAGGAAGGGAAGGAAGAGGAAGAAATGAAGGATGTGTAGAAGAAATGAAGGATGTGTAGAAGGAAGAAAGGAAGGAAAGAAGAAAGGAGGGGAAGAAGGAAGGGAGGAAGTTTAGGAATCATTGTACAAGAGAGAAAAAGAAATTAAAACAGAGAAAAAGGAAGCTGAACAGAGTACACAGCTTGGGAGCCTAGTATCTGGAGTAACTTTGCCCTGAGGAACCTCCATCCTACGAGATGTTCCTGTTTGTTCCCCGAAAAAATGTTCCATGGGTAAGTTGGAAAATGCACAAATGATAACCCCTTGTGAAAGAATATGATTTTGAGAAGCATAATAAAAGATTAGAAAAGTTTTAGTGAAACCCCGTCTCTACTAAAAATACAAAAAAAATAGCTGGGCGTGCTGGCTGACACCTGTAGTCCCAGCTACTCGGGAAGCTGAGGCAGGAGAATGGCATGAACCCGGGAGGCAGAGCTTGCAGTGAGCCGAGATCGCGCCACTACACTCCAGCCTGGGTGACAAAGCGAGACTCCATCTCAAAAAAAAAAAAAAAAAAAAAAAGATTTGAAAAGTTTTAAAGACCCTATTTCTCTTTATATTCTTAATCTCTTTTTGACTACAGCTCTTTTCTATTCCTTTCTTCTCTTCCTCCCTTTCTTTCTTCCTCCCTCCCTCCCTCCCTGCCTCCTCCTTTTCCTTCCTTCCTTCTGCTTGTCTGGACAGAAAGGGGGAAGACAATTTAGAAAATGGAGAGAGAGACTGGAGACTCAGGTTGAAACCCTAGAATAACCCCATGTCAAGTAAGTCATCATCCTGAAGCTGACTCTTCTGTCTATAAAGAGATGGAACAGGAAAGGAGGTCTACAGGCTTTTCACAGTTTTGTATAAAAGAGCTCAACCAGGAATTTCCTGCCGATATCAAATAGAGGTGGGAAATGATTTTGCTTGAAAATAAGAATGGAATGAGAAAGTATGTATCCTAGCAACGTGTGTTATGTATATTATCTAAACAGATTGGCCATATGTGATCAAACGCCCAGGAGCCAGCTGGTGAGAAAGGTGGGACCACCAAATTGATTGCATCAGTATGGCAGGGCACACCTCTCTATGTCAGTGTCTATGACCTGGGGATATCAATAGTGGCAAACATTAGGCTGCAGTTAGGGTTGTAGTCCTGTATCTATTACTGGCAATTAGCAATTTGTTACACAAGTTAAAAATTGCTCCCCCTTACTTAACTCTAAGCTGTCCTCCACAAAATCCCTTTAGGGCAGAGACTAAGTCTGAAGTGAAGTCACAGGTTGGAAACTGTTACAGTTCCTGAGCCATGCTGAATGAATGAAGGAAGGAACAAAAGCAGGGAATGAGCCTGTGTCTCAATGTTGTCGTGGATATAACAGGGCTGAAACAAGAACCTCAAAAGGTCTTTATGAAGACTTTGTAGGTTGTTAAGTGTTAAACACTTCGGTTTCTCCTTCTACCAGAAATAGCATTAATAATAAATGCCTCCTGAACATGAAATATAATATTAGTAGAAATGAAGAAAGTGCAAACACAGGCCATAATTTTCACTTCCAAATTTCATGCAAATGCAAGTCAAACACAATCCAAGCGAAGTGAGAAGAATTAGAAAGAAACACTTATAACAGACAAACATTTGGGCATTAAAGCCATTGGACTAGCAAGTAGCTTTTTTTCTATGCCCACCTTACAGGTTCAAAAGGTGTTAGACAAGGCTGAATACAAATTTTAAACATCAAAAAACAAGTAAATAACCTTTGTATAGCACTTTGACTCCTCATAAAACAGTTCCTTATTATTCTCCCCATTAATTCATGTATGTATTCAGCAAAGAGTTAATGAGCACCACTGTTTATGAATCAGCCTCTTTGAAGGACATCCAGATGAGCCATGCACCTCAAGGAGCTGACTATCGGATGGAAGAGACAAACAACTTGAAACTTATAACATTTGACTTATGTTAACTACCCAGTAAGAATGATCAGATACTATGATCTCAATTTTATAAGCAAATAAACTGAGGAACAGAATTTTACTGATTAAGAATTCCAACTCTGGAGTCAGACAGTCATGAAGGTGAACCCCTGAATCTCCTAGCTTCTCACTGGGGGACCAGGGATGAGTTACATTTTTTTTCATTTATTTATTTTTGAGACAGTCTCGCTTTGTTGCCCAGGCTGGAGTGCAGTGGCACAATCTCGGCTCACTGCAACCTCTGCCTCCTGGATTCAAGCAATTCTCCTCCCTCAGCCTCCCGAGTAGCTGGGATTACAGGCACCCACCACCACACTTGGCTAATTTTTTTTTTTTTTTTTTTTTTAGTAGAGATGGGGTTTTACTATGTTGGCCAGGCTGATTTCAAACTCCTGACCTCAAATGATCCTCTGGCCTCAGTCTCCCAAAGTGCTAGGATTACAGGTGGAGCCACTGCACCCATCCAAGTTACATTTTCTATGTATCAGTTTACTCGTCTGATGGATATTAATAATTGATCCTCCTTCAAATGGATTAGATGAGTTAATGTAAGGTTTTAAAAAAAAGTTAACAAAGTACATATACAGTCTCTCAGTAAATGCCAATAATTATTATTATCACCATAAATTGTATTAGTTATTAATAGTATTTGTATTGGATTTACTTAAAGTCACTTGATGAATAAGTTTCAGAGTAGAATCCACAGCAATATCTTCTAAGACGAATATCTGTGCACTTTTCACATAAAAATCAGGTTGTTAAATACAGAATAATGGGCTCAAAAGGAAACTCAGGTCATCAAGTTCAGCTTTTCTTCTAATAACTAGCAGTCATTCTGTCTCTTATCAAGATCTTTACTCCTTACTGCAAAAATTAACCTATGAAGTGCCTATCACCATTAGAAGAGTATGTGTTGAGTTTCACTGTCACTCTCTAACTTTGTACATCAGTCATTGTTCAGACCTCTGGGGTAACAGAGAAAAAGCCTTGGCCTTCTATGTCATGAGAACCTTTTCAAGCCACTGGTTATATTCTGACAGGTCTCTAAGATGATTAACAACCAGCGTTTCCAGCATGCAATGGGTCACACTTGAAATACATGCACGCTTCATACAGAATTTATGGTAACATTGCTCATCCTAAGCAAAGGGGCTGTGCCATTTTTATTCACTCTCTAAACATTTATCAAGCCACATTTATGTGTCAGAAACTAGACTCTAGATACTGGGGCCACTGAAAACAGAGCACAGACATTGCTCTCACAGAGTTTCAGACTAGAAAATACAAGTTCTCTTCATAAGGATTTTCTTCTTTCATAGTTATAAAGAATATCCATCATCTGGTCCAATTCTGTCATTTTCCAGAGGAGTAAACTGAGGCCCAAAGACGGAAAATGACTCACCCAAGGACAATACCTAAGTTAATGGCAGGCTAGACTAAACACCCTTTCTCACTCTCCCAAGATTATTTCTCTTAAGCAAAGGTGTGATTGTGGAGGAGGGGGATGGAGGAGGCAGTCATTCCACAAGATACTATAGCACAGATTAAAACATATAAACGCTCACAGACTGATGAGCAAAGGCTTGATTTAAACAGGTCTGGGGTTTCTCTTGGGCCTACCCTGACTTCCTTTTGACCTTGGACAGGGGCTAGCTGAAGAGCCTTAAGGCCATCATATGGGAGGTCCATTTCTGCTTCTCGACAAGAACTCTTTGGGGTATTTAAAAATACATTACACGATGTGATAGCTGAAGCATGTTCCCATGGATGGTTACCCAAGAGTCACAGTTCCATTCCTTGCTCTGCCACTGAGACTATATGATTGACGGCCTGGGTGCCAGTGACCCTGGGCCAAATCACTTAATGTTCTTTCCTTCTCCACAGAATGGCGAGGACAATGGGAGTTCCCAGGTATACTGGTCCATTGTGAGGATGGATTGTTTCCTGACGTCCATAAAACTCTCTGAGTTCCACTGAGAAAGGCCAGATTTTATGATACCCTTGAGAGTTCCCTTTCATTTGTAACAGAAGTGAAACTATACTTTATCTCATTAGCTACACATTATATATTGGTCACCTACCAAGAACTTGCAGGTTTCACATGTAAATTAGCCTGGACTTAGGGGCCTGGAGCCAAAGTGGGAAAAAAAACAGGTGAGGTGTGAGCCATGTTGAACAAGGTGTCAAGGGCCTTGGAGTCTCAATATGCCTCTGTCCCTAGCCCAACTCTGTGACATTAGGCAAACTTCTGGATCTCTCTCTCTCAATCTCCTTAGCATTTATCAAATGGAAATAATGATCCTGTTCTTGTTTTTCCTGTCACAGGATGGCTGTAGACTCAAACAAGAATACAGATACACTTTGCAAATAGCAAAGCCACATATACAAGTGTCAGATATGACTATTACAGATGGCCTCTACTTACAAAACCTTGTCTAACAAGTTTGTAGTCATGAACTGATATCATGGGACATTGAATCTTCTCAAAATAATGTTGTTCAAAAGGGTTAGATTCCTAGGAAAGCTTCCCACTCAGCTCCAAATTGCAAAGTTACAGGGATAAAGGCATACTTTCCATTACAGTCAATTACCTTTGATAATATAGTTTCTCACAGAACAGCATTCTGGATTCTAAATCCCCTATAAGACATCTCCCTTCCTAGCAGCCTTAAGTGACAGGAGGTTATGAACTTGGGAACAAGGCAAGCTAGGTTCAAGTCCCACCTCTGCTACTCCCTAGTTCTGCAACTATAGGCAAATAAATTAAACTTTCTGATCATCAGTCTCCTTATCTGTCAAATGTGGTTGATGATGACCACCTTATGACCACAAATGAAGCTCATAATAAGCATTACACCCATGACAGTTTCCTTCTTGTACACAAAGACCTTGCTAATTCTCTTCATTTCATAAAGAAGGCACCTATCTGCAACTCTATGGCAATCTTCCCTGGGGAGTTTGAGATTCGAGAACAGAGGACAGCTGCCCCCTTGAGTGATAGCTTCAGTCTCAGTCTCCCTTATTGACTCTGCAGAAGGGTAAGTGAACCATAACCACCAGGCTTGAAAGAACCAACCATTCAGCTACTTGGAAGGCTGAGGAGGGAGGATCACCTGAGCTTCTAGGGAAATCCAAGTTGCACAGGTTGCAGTGAGCCATGATCGCACCACTGCACTCCACCCTGGGTGACAGAGCAAGACTCTGTCTCAATTTAAAAAATCAAAAAAACAAAACAAAAAACCAACCATTTATGCAATGAAGCAAATCAGTGGCAAAAGCTTATCTAGCAGCACTAGAAGGCAAGGTTGTGAACTGCCATTCTTTCACTAAATCACGTTGCATTCTGATTTATAGCGACTTGTTATGTTAAGTCAGGGCTTACAAACTTAAGACCTAATAACAAACCCGAAAGTACATTCCTTAAAACAATGCATACCTTTCAGGCTTCCAATATGACCATTATAATCATCTCTTTGTTTAGAAGGCTACTAATTGTTTAAGGAACTCTTTTTTATCCCCAACATGATAAAAACTTTCAAACACACAGAAGAATATTTTCATGAACACCCACACACTCACTACTAAATATTTTACAATTTGTATTTTATCATATGTGTACTCATCTATCCAATCTCTATTGCCATCCACCAATCCATGTTATTTTTTCATGCATTTTAAATTGAATGCAGACATCTATACACTTTCCCCTAAACATCTCAGTATGAATATCATTAACTGGAGTTCAACATTTGTTTCCAGTTTTCTTTTCTTTTGAGGTAAAAGTTATATACAATGAAATGCACAAATTCTATGTGAACATTCTCACTGAATTTTTACAAAGACATATACATACAGCACTTGCACGATCAAAGTCCTTATCAAGGCGTTAAACATTGCTATCAGCCCAAAAAGTTCCTCAAGCACATTCCCATTCAGACTCTAGCCCTATCCCCCGAGAGGCAACCACTATTTTATTTCTTTAATAGACTTTATTTTTTAGAGCAGTTTTGGGTTCACAATAAAATTCAGAGGAAGGTACAGAGATTTCCCGTATACTCTCCACCCCCATACATGTATAGCCACCCCCATTATCAATATCTCCCACCAGAGAAGTACATTTGTTACAATTCATGAACCTGCACTGATATATCACTGTTACTCAAAGACTACGGTTTACATTAGGGCTCATTTTTGGTGCTGCACATTTATGGGTTTTGATGAATGCATAAGGACTTGTATCTACCAGTGCAGTTTCATACAAAGTAGTTTCACTGCTGTGAATACGTGCAGCATAATCCTCTGTGCTCTGCATATTCACCTATACCTACTACCAACCTCTATCTTTTTACTGTCTCCAAAGTTTTGCCTTTTCCACAATGCCATATAGTTGAAATCACAAAGTACGTAGCCTTTTCACATTGGCTCATTTCACTTAGTAATAAACATTTAAGTTTCCTCCATATCTTTTTGTAGCTTAAGAGCTCATTTTTGTTAACACCAAATAATATTTCGTTATCTGGATGTAACACAGATTTTTATTCATTCACCAACTGAAGGACATCTTGGTTGCAATTAGGAATAAAGCTGCTATAAGCATCCATGTGTAAGTTTTTGTGTGACTGTGTGTTTTCAACTCATTTGAGTAAAAGTCAAGGAGCACAATTGCGGGGTCAAATGCTAAGAGCATGTTTAGTTTTGTAAAAAAACTGCCAAGCGGGCTTCCAAAGTGGCTATACCATGTTGCATTCCCACCAGGAATAAATGAGAGTTTTTGTTGTTGCAAATCCTCTCCAGCATTTAGTAGTCCCTGAGTTCTGAACTTGACCATGCCAATAGGTGTGCAGTGGTATCTCATTGTCTCGATTTGTATTCTCCTTTGTTATACAATGTGGACCATCTTTACATATGTGTATTTACCATTTGTGTATCTTCTTTGGTGAGATGTATGTAAAGGTCTTTGGCTCATATTTAACTGGGTTGTCTGTGTTCTTATTGAGTGTTAAGACTTCTTGCATATTTTGGATAACAAATGTGTTTCAAATATGTTCATAAATGGATATTTATTTTGCAAATTTCTTTCAGTCCATGTTTTGTTCTTGTTCTTTTCACAAGTGTCTTTCACAGAGCAGAAATTAATTTTAGTAAAGTCTAACTAATGAATTCTTTCTTTTGTAAACCATGTCTTTGCTGTCACAGCTAAAATGTCATTGCCCAACCCAAGGTCATCTATATTTTTTCCTATGTTATCTTCTAGGAGTGTATTGGTCTGTTTTATGTTGCTATAAAGGAATATCTGAGTCTGGGTAATTTTAAAACAGGTTTAGTTAGCCCATAGTTCTACAAGTCATATGGGAAAGATGGTGTGGGCATCTCCTTGGCTTCTGGTGAGGGCTTTTGTGTTGCATCAAAACATGGTAGAAAAGGTCCAAGGGGAAGCATGCAGGTACAAAGAGGGATCATGCCTGATGCACACCCTGACATTATAACAACCCACTCTCCCAGGAACTAGTGCATACCCCCAGAATTGGTTTGGTCTTGCAAGAGTGAGAACTCACTTACTACCTTAAGAATGGCATCAAACCATTCATGAGGGATCCACCCCCAGGACCCAACCACATCCCACCAGGTGCCCTTCCCAATATTCCACACTGGGGACTAAATTTCAACTTGAGGTTTGGAGGGAACAAACATTTAAACCATTACATGAAGCTTTATAGTTGTGAATTTTACATTTAGGTCTGTATCCATTTTGAGTTAAAATTTTTGTGAAGGGTATAAAGTCTGGGTCTAGATTCACTTTTTTTGCAGGTGGATGTCCAGTTGTTCTAGCATCTTGTGTCAAAAAGACTATCTTTTCTCCATTGCTTTGCCTTTGCCAAAGATCAGTTGAGTATATTTATGTGGGTCCATTTCTGGGCTTTCTATTCTGTTCCATTGATCTGTCTAATCTTTCACCAGTACCATACTGTCTTGATTACTGTAGCATTATAGTAAGACTGGAAGTTGACAAGTGTCAGTACTTCACTTTGTTCTCCACCAATATTGTGTTGGCTATTCTGGGTCTTTTGCCTCACCATATAAATGTTAGAATTCATTTGTCAATATCCACAAAATAACTTGCTGGGATTTTGATTGGGATTGCACTGAATCTGTAGATCATATTAGGAAGATCTGACATCTTGACAGCATTGAGTCTTCCTAGCCATGAACATGAAGTATCTCTTCATTTATTTACTCTTTGATTTCTTTCATCAGAGTTTTATAGTTTTTCTTATATAGATTTTGTTATTTTTTGTCAGATTTACAACTAAGTATTTTTTAGGTGTGCTAATTGATATTGTGTTTTTAATTTCAAATTCTGTTTGTTCACTGCTGGTACATAGAAGAGTAATTCACTTCATATATTAACTTAGATCCTGCAACCTGGCTATAATTCTTCATTCCAGAAGATTTTTTGTCAATTCTTTTGGATTTTCTACATAGATTATTACATAATCTCCAAACAAAGACAGTTCTTTCTTTCTTCCCAATCAGTTTACCTTTTGTTCTTTCTTTTCTTATTGCATCAGCTAGGACTTCTAATATGATGTTGAAAGAGAGTGGTGAAAAGGGACATCCTTGTCTTGTTCCTGATCTTAGTGAGAAGGCTTCTAGATTCTCACCATTAAGTATCATGTTAGTTGTAGGTTTTTCATGGATATTCTTTCTCAAATTGAGGGAGTTTCTGTCTATTGGTAGCTGACAGTTTTTATCCTTAATAGACATTGGATTTTGTCAAATGCTTTTTCTGTATTGATTAATATGACCATGTAATTTTTCTTCTTTAGCTAGCTGATGTGATGGATTATGTTATTTCATTTTGGAATGTTAAATCAGCTTTGCATACTTAGGATAAATCTTACTTGATTGCGGTGTGTGATTCTTTTTAAACATTGTTGGGTTCTGTTTGCTAATATTTTGTTGAGGATTTTTACATCTCATCATGCTCATGAGTGATATTGGTCTATAGTTTTCTTTTCTTGTAATCTCTTTGTCTAATTTTGGTGTTGGGGTAATGGTGACTTCATAAAATGAGTTGGGAAATATATCCTCTGGTTCTATCTTCTGAAAAAGATTGTAGAGAAACTGTTATAATTTATTCCTTAAGTTGTAGAATTCACCAGTGAATCCATCTAGGCCTGGTCCCTTCTGTTTCGCAAGGTTATTGTTGATTCAATTTCTTTAACAAATATAGGCCTACTTGGATCGATTGTGTCTTCTTGTGTGGGTTTTGGCAAATGGTGTCTGTCACGGAGTTGATCCATTTCATCTAGGCTATCAAATTTGTAGGCCCAGAATTCTTCCTAGTATTCTGTTGTTATCCTTTTAATGTCCATGGGATTCTAGTGATATCTCCTCTTTTATTTCTTATATTTGCAATTTGTGTCCTTTGTCTTTTTTCCACAGTTAGCCTGGTTACAGGCTTTCGATCTTACTGATCTTTACAAAGAAAAAGTTTTTGGTTTGGTTGATTTTCTCTATTAATTTCTTGTTTTCTATTCCATGGATTCCTGCTCTTATTGTTATTATTTCCTTTCTTCTGCTTAATTTGGCTTTAATTTTATTTCCCTTTTCTGTTTCCCTAAAGTGGAAGCTTTTATTAATTTTAGATCTTTCTTCTTTTCTAACATATGCATTCAATGCTACAAATTTCCCTCTAAGCACAGCTTTCACCGCAACCCACAAATTTTGATAAGTTGTGTTTTTATTTTTATTTAGTTAAAAATATTTTTAAATTTCTCTTGAGATTGATTTTTTGACTCGTGTTATTTAGAAGTGTGTTGTTTAATCTCCATGTATTTTCAGTTTTCCTGCTATTGATTTCTAGTTTAATTCTGTGTTCTGAGAGCAGATATCGATTGTATGATTTTCATTCTTTTAAATTCGTTAAAGTTTGTTTTATGGCCCAGAATATTTTCCATCTTGGTAAATGTTTTATGTGAACTTGACAAGAATATATATTCTGCTGTTGTTGGATAAAGTAGTCTATATGCGTCAATTATATTCAGTTGATTGATGGCATTTTTTGACTTCAACTATGTTCTTACTAAATTTTTGCCTGCAATTCTCCTGCCTCAGCCTCCTGAGTAGCTGGGATTAGAGGTGCCCGCCACCAAGCCCAGCTAATTTTTTTTTTTTTTTTGTATTTTTAGTAGAGACGGGGTTTCACCATGTTGGTCAGATAGAAGGGTATTAAAGGCTCCAATTACAATAGTGGATTCATCTATTTCTATTTGAAGTTCTATCAGTGTTTATCTTATGTAGTTTGATATTCTATTGTTGAGTGCCTGTACGTTAAGGATCATTATGTCTTCTTGGAGAATTTATCCCTTTACTATTATGTAATGACCCACTTTATCCCTGATAACTTTCCTTGCTCTAAAATCTGCTAGGCCCAAAATTAACACATTGATTTCCACTTTCCTTTGATTAGTGTTAGCATGGTTTGTCTTTCTATGTCCATTTACTTTTAATCTATTTGTATCTTTATATGTAAAATGGGTTTCTTGTAGACAAAATATAGTTGGGGATTGGAATTGAGTATTTTCCTTTCCCCAGGTCAGTTAGGCTCTCATAAAACCCCATGTTAGACTCTGGTTAAACGGTTTCTTATGAGGGCAGATCTTATTAGGAAGAACAGAATGCCCTGGCATTTTTCAAAATGGCTCCTTTTCTTCTCTCCCTGACAAAAGCACTAGGAGGTTTTTCTCCCATATACACTATAAAAACCAGGCAGAGTTATTAGAGATAAAACCCACAAAGGTGTGGAGTCTCCCTTTGAATGGTACCCTATAAGGTTTATAACTCTCAGAGTTGTCCACACTGAAACTCCAACAATTTATCAATTACAATTCAGGATTTCCTATGCTGGCCCTGGTTCCAGTGGAGCTTTCTGCTCCTACAAGTTGCAATTCTCTGCATTTGCCTACCTGTGTTTCCAATCTGAGGGGCAGTGACCTCACATCTCTTATGGATATAAGAAGAGTTGCTGATTTTTTCAGTTTGTTCAGCTTTTTACTTGTTGTTAGGATAAAGTGGCATCTTCTAAGCTTCTCACATGCCAGTAGAAAACCAGAAGTCTCCTTTTTTTTTACAATAGGTTTTACCTTTTCTAGAACTTCATATAAATGGAATCATATTGTAAGTACTCTTCTGTGTAATGCTTCTTTCACTCAGCATAATATTTTTGAGATTTATCCATATATTGCATGTATCAATGATTTGTTCCTTTTTATTATTGATGAATATTCATTTATATAAATATACCACAGTTTGCTTATCCTCTTACTAATGAACACATGATCTATTTCTAGCTTTTGCTGGAATAAACAGGTCTGCTATAAATATTCTTGTAAAAATCTTTTACAGGTATGTTTTCCTTCTCTTTGGTAAACAGCAAGTTGCAGAACTGCTGGGTCATTGGGTAGATACAGTCCCAGTTTTATAAGAAACTAACAGGTCCTTTTTCAAAGCAGTTGTACCGTTTTATACTACCATCTACAATGTATGAGAGTTAACAGTCCATATCCTTGAAAATATTTGATTTGATGTGGTCAGTCTTTTTTTTTTTTGAGACCGAGTCTCACTCTGTCGCCCAGGCTAGAGTGCAGTGGCGCGATCTTGGCTCACTGCAACCTCTGCCTCCCAGGTTCAAGCAGTTCTCCTGCCTCAGCCTCCTGAGTAGCTGGGATTATAGGCGTCCGCCACCAAGCCCAGCTAATTGTGTGTGTGTGTGTGTGTGTGTGTGTGTGTGTGTGTGTGTTTAGTAGAGACGAGGTTTCACCATGTTGGTCAGGCTGGTCTCAAACCCCTGACCTCGTGATCCACCCACTTTGGCCGCCCAAAGTGCGGGATTACAGGCGTGAGCCACTGCGCCCGGCCCTAGTCTTTTTAATTTTAGCCATTTGGTGGGGAGAGTGTAGTGGTAGCTCATTGTGAGAAAATGGAATTTGAAAAGACTTAAAAGTTATCTGAAAATAATTTAAGTGGAACATCTATGAACCACAGAATTTTTCAGGGAGTTATATTTCTAGTTGTATTATTTTTAGAGGTGTGCTAAATTAGAGAGTTAGAAAGAAAAGTTGTGTCCTGCCGATGTTGATAGCACTAAGGTAATAATAAGCATTGCTGTTATAGTATGCTTATGTGCCAAGGATCCTTCCAAGCACTTTACATGTGTTAACCCCAGGAACTAGCATTTATTCAGTGATCACTATGTGCTAAATACCTAGCATTTAACTTGATCTATTATAGTTTAACCTTCTCTAAAACTCTGTTGTCCAGTATTGAGGGAATTTTTCATAGATAAAGCATCTGACTTGCCCAAGACCAGGACCTGATGAACCCAGGATCTGAATCTACGTCATTCTAACTCTGAGGCTCGTATTCTGAGGCCATGCCACGGTACTTCCTCACCGCGCAGTAGGGTTACGCTGCGACAGTAGACATTGTGCCATGGATCTTTCTCTCTGCATTTGCCTCAAATTTTCAAGACTCTTTAAAGTTTCCTTCTGAGCGAACTGTAAGACAGAGGTACGACTTCTGCTGGCTCAGCATTCTGCCAAAGAGACGAAACAAAATTGCTGTGACCTGGGAAGCAATGAGTCTGTCTCCCCTAAGGCAAGCCATTTCTGGCTGTTTCAGTTTCACTCACTTAGCAACTTCTAAGACTCAGTCTCTTGTTCCATCTCTGGAAGTTAAACTCAAAGCCTAATTGAGATATACATCTCCTGCCACCAGTTTAAGCCCTGATGCTAACGCCTGCCACAGAGGATAATTAGTGAGGAAACCTGGCACTTGTAACATACAGCTAGTCTTGCCATGAGAAGAAGGAGGGTTTAGTGGTTAGGGGCATCTGTTCAGAAAGCAGAGGGACTGGATTTGACTCCTGGATCTATCACTTTCCAGCTGTATGGCCTCTATTAAGTTGTTTGGTCCCACTAAACCTCTCTTTCTGCATCTGTAAAATGGGGATAATAATCTTAATAGATACCTCATGGAGATTTTGTGCGAATTAATTGAGGTTAACAACTGTAAAATATTTGTCACAGTTCATGATCTGGTGTTCAATAAATGTCAAGTAGTATTATGGTAATTGCTTAATGGTGTCTATCTTCATTTCAGATTATTAAATGAAAACAATGTTACTGCTAGGTAGTAAATGTCTGCGGGTCAGTGTTAGGAGAAGGAGAAAAGGGGAATTACCATTTATTCAATGCCAACCTAATTCTGGATTCACCACATTAATATTTACAATGATTCTGGGAGAAGGCATTAGTATTCCCATTTTACAGATGAGGAAAGAGAGTCACAAAGTGGTTTAATCACATTGCTAAGGTCAGTTGAGGGGTCACAACCAGGAATCACCATCAGGAAATAAAAACAAACAACAACAACAACAACAACAAAAAACGAGTGCATAAAAAGCTGCCCTAGATGCCCTAGACAGATTCTTCCTGGAAGCTCCCTGACGGATCAGGCTGTCTATGGCTGCAGAAAATGCTGGGGACTACTCTGCTTGAGTTGGCAAGTGGAGGAGGAAACTTAAAGCAGATCTCAATTTTTGCAATGGCCTAATGTTAAAGAAAAATGTAAAAAGAAAAGGATGGGCTCAATTGTCAGATGACCTGCTTTTCATCACAGGCTTCATATCTATCCTGAAGTGTGACCTTGGGACTGTCACTTGATCATCCTGAACCTTGGTTTTCTCATCTAGAAAATAGGCACATTGTTTTGGGATCTCAAAGGCAACTGCTCTGTGAAATATAAAGCCTTACAGGCGGGTTATTCCAAGGAAGGCAGGAGCCCTTCAATAAATAATCAGCCTTGAGAATGGAAGACTCACACAGCAGTAACTCACATGTTTGCTAATTGATTTTCCTTCTGTGATCCTCGGCTGGAGCCCAGGCCTCAGCCACATTTAACTCAGGCTATTTACTGAGTTGATCCATTCATCTGCCTCCCTCAGTCCAAGACACCATCAGTTGTTGCCTGATGGTTCCAACCCGTCTTCCTGGTCCTCTTCTGCCTCTTCATTGGATTGTAATCCATATTACTTTTTTTATTTTGAGACAGAGTCTTGCTCCATCATCCAGGCTGGAGTGCAGTGGCATGATCTCAGCTCACTGAAAACTCCGCCTGCTGGGTTCAAGCAATTCTCCTGCCTCAGCCTCCCATGTAGCTGGGATTACAGGCAGCCGCCACCACGCCCAGCTAATTTTTTTTTCTTTTTGTTGTTTTTATTAGCGATGGGATTTCGCCATGTTGGCCTGGCTGGTCTCGAACTCTTGATCTCAGGTGATCCATTTGCCTCAGCCTCCCAAAGTGCTGGCATCATGTTATTTTTATTTATTTATTTTTTTTAGATGGAGTCTCGCACTGTTGTTTAAAATAGAAATAAATACTTTAATGATGTCACCCACCTACTCAGATCCATTAGCAGTTTCCAATCACTCTTATAATTAAATACAAACTTTCTGTGAGGGCCTAAAACACCATCACATTTGGTGTCTTGCTGAGCCATCCAATTTCATCTGACACTCTTCATTCTGCTGCCAGGAGTCTTTGCTCCAGCCACACTGGCCTCCTTTCTCTTCTGTGACACAGCCAGGCTTGTTCTCACCTCAGGGCCTTTGCACCAACTCTTCCCTTTGTCAGCTCCCTTTGGGCGCTGGGGGGTTGTCTTTTTTTTAACTTCTGCTTGCTGATCTGCCTGACTGTAGCATAAGCTCCAGGAAAGCAGATGCCTTGTCTTGTTTATCTCTGTATTCCTGTGCTTTAAATTGGGTCTGGCACATAGTTGGTGCTTGGTAAGTATTTATAAGAGGCACAAATAAATATTACTGATCTTGGGACTATGTGATGAGGTCTGTGGGGTGAGCCAAGGAGGGAAGGGACCCAACGGGATTCCTCCTAAGTGTTTGCTGGGGATGCAGGGTGAAGAGTGGTGGGAGCAGCCTGAAATTGATCTGATCAGTTATCCCTGCCAAGTTAGTCCAGTCTAGAATCTCTTAGCTAGCATTCCACATTTTTTACTAGACGATGAAAAGCCAAACTATGCTCATGAGAGAAGGCAAAGCTGAGCTAGAGTTGCATTTCTGTAATAGGCCATGGGAATCTAGAGCAACTGGGAACTCCCAGTGGCCACTGGGAACACAGCTACCAAGGGAGGCAAGTGGGGATACCAATAAGAGGCAGGGAACAAGAGGAGATAGAGGGAGGGACTTGGGAAGTGGTCTGGAGACAGTCTAGGAACAGAGCCAGTACTAAGAGACAGAGCTTTTATAAAGCCCCTAGCCACTTAAAGTGCTCTGGGCAAAATAGCATCCCCAACTGAAAAAAATAACAGCTTCAAAACCTGTTGTTGCTGGACTTGCAACAGTACCCAAGCTAGGTCAACAGGCTGAAGGACTCAAATCTTCCTTTCTTGCTCCTCACTGGCCCTTCCTTACTAGTATCTGGAGGAGCTGATGTCCTGGAGCAGGCCCTGCAGTTCCCCTGTCTGATGTGGTTCCTCTGTTCCCTTCTGTTTCAGGAGGAGGAGGACACTAGGGCCCTAGCTGCCGGCATGCCTCTTGGCCAGCTTGTTCAGTATCCTTGGGCCCTGTGCATGATGTTACCTATAGTCAGGGCTAAGCTCTTGTTCAGATGCCCTCATAGTGAGGCCAGCTGACTGTGCCATGTTCAGAGAACATTCTGGGCCTCTAGCTGTGACTTGCACTAAGCAGAAATAATCAGGTCCTACTTTCATGGGAATTCCTTTTCATGTGATGTTCTGAATTTAGAGTTAGAGACATTTGGGGACCAGCCCTTGCTGGGTGTGTAACTCTGGTCAAGGCACAGGGCCTTTCTGAACTTTAGCAGCTTCTTCTGTACAATAGGGATACTGGCACTTGGATCAATGCTCAGTACAGGGTTTTAAAAGAATGTGAAATGCAGTTGCTACTAGGACTAATTTCCAGGCAGTGTGTTGGTAGGATCACATTCGTCCCTATTATATGGTTTGGCTGTGTCAGCACCCAAATTTCATCTTGACTTGTAATCCCCATAATTCCCATGTATCTAGGGAGACCTAGTGGGAGCTGATTGGATCATGGGGGCAGTTCCCCCCATGCTGTTCTCGTGATAGTGAGTGAGTTCTCACGAAATCTGATGGTTTTATAAGGGTCTCTTCCCGCTTCACTTGTTCGCTCTCTCTCACCTGCTGCCACATAAGATGTGCCTTTGCTTCTGTCTTACCTCCTGCCATGATTGTAAGTTTCCTGAGGCCTCCCCAACCATGCAGAACTGTGATTCAATTAAACCTCTTTTCTTTATAAATTACCCAATCTCAAGTGTGTCTTTACAGCATGTGAAAACAGACTAATACACCCTACAGTACTAAAACAATTTATCCTGTTGGTCAATACCCACCCAACCCCTTCCCCAGGCCCCCTGGAGGTACCCTGCAGCCACTGTCCTTCCCTCAGGATCACCTTGCCTTTAGTAACTAAAGGGCTGCCATCTGCCTCTTCTGGGGACTCCTGGACTCTCCTCTTGTACCAACTGCTTCTCTTCTGCTTGCTCAATGCTGAGCCAAACCAGTTATTAAATATTTTCAATGTCCCCTGGTTACTCATTACTTTCCAATGTTATTCAAACAAATTTCTAATAAGGTCAATATCTTAGTTTGGACTACTACAGCAGAACACCGTAGACAGGGTAGCTTTTGAACAACAAACATTTATTTTTCACAGTTCTGGAGGCTGAAAGTCTGAGATCAAGGTGCCAGCATGGCCACGTTCTTGGTGAGGGCCCTCTATCTGGTTCACAGATGACCTTCTTCTCTCATATTCTCACATGGCAGAGAGACAGAGAAAGAAAGAGAGCATGCTCTGGTCTCTCTGTCCCCTTATGAGGGCACTAATCCCATTTGTGGACGCTCCACCCTCATGACTCAATTATGTCCCCAAAGTCCCACCTTCAAGTATCATCACATTGGAGATGTAGGCTTCAATATACCAATGTGGGTTAAGGGGATAAACATTCATTCCTTTCCAGTGAATGTCCCATAAGAACTATCTGAGATGAGCTAGATGTATATTTAGGTTTACTCAGCTTACCTCAACCACGATGTTCTCTCTCATCTTCAAAACTTTTAGACACTGTTCATTCTTTCAGAAACAAATTTCCGTTCAATTTCATCAGCTCTCTATTCTTGCTTTCATCTAACCAACTCTTCCTTGTCCTTAAAGTCTCAGCCTAGCGGTAATTTCTTCCCAGAAATCTTAACAATCCAAGTTGGGGGAGGCAGAGTCCATGGCCTTGCCCCAAACCTAGACTTAATCTCCCCACTAGGCTGCAAGCTTCTTGAGGATGTTGAACAAATTTGTGCCATTCTCCACAAAGCAAGTTTATCCCCTTTTACAGATGCAGAAAGTAAGACCACATGTAGCCAAGGAACACACCCCAGCATGTATTCAGTAAAGAATGAGGCCAGCTTTCCCACTGAGGTCTCATTAGGGCCAAGCCTGTATTCTTACCACTGCTCTGTCCCACCACCTGCAACTGCATCTAAAGAGAACATTAAGGCCTAAATAAATGTTGAATGAACAACCAGCTTCCCAAAAAATTTTAATTTTGTCTACCTGGTGTGAATCTAACACAACACTATAAAGGGAGGGAATATGACTGCGATTTTTACAGAAGGCCAAACCTACAGCAGTAATGATAAGCACAAATACTGAAATGAACAGAAGGAAGTAGAACTCCAGGAAATGCTGAATGTGCAGGCTTCTCTGCTTCTACACCTAGAGGTTCCCTTGCATAAAGTTTAGATATTCCGAGTTTGGTTTCAGTGAGGGATACAGGTCCTCCTAAGCCCAGGGCATTTCAACACATTTCAGGAAATTGAGGGCCATGATGCCGGCTGTATATTGACAACAAATAATGTGTTGGAGTCACTGTTTCAAAGAGAAAAGAAATTAGAAATTTCAAGGAAGATACAGTTTTTGCTGATATTTGATGCATTCGATTTGTGAGCAAACCACCTCTCTGAAAACAAACTTAGAACTTCTAATGTCTGCACCTTACCTTCTCACTTTATAGAAAGGCAGGGCAGAGGTTCAAATAAGTTAAGTGCTTTGTCCACAGTTAAACAGCAAGTGAAGGGCAGACTAGAGGATAAGAACCTTTTAAGTCTTCTAGCCCAATGCATCTCAAATTTAAAGTGCAAATGAATCAGCTGAAGATCTTGTTAACAGGCAGATTCTGGTTCTGTGGGTCTGGGGCAGAGCCTGAGATTCTGCCTTTCCAACAAACTCCCATGTAACACCAGTGCCACTGCTCCAGGGACACCATTTGAGTAGCAAAGACCTATCACCAGCAATGCTTTTCCCCACACTATGCACCTCTACTGTTAAAACTGAAGAATCAAAGGATGGAATCCCTGCAATGCCCAATTCGAGAAGCCCTTGGCAAAGTGTGTGAGGCTCCCTAGAGACAGTTGCTTACCAAGCTTCCAGTAAAGAAATGGTAGCTTTTCATTACTCCAGTGATATGTTTAGGCACTGTGGAATCCCTACGTGATGGGGAGAAAAAAACCCTAGCAGAGATACCTAATACAATACATGCTTATGATCCATCCACTTAGTGACTATAAGGTTTGAGAGCAATGCAGTGAGCATCTGATTATAGTGAATGAAGGAAAATGCAGTTTGTGGTTTAGCATTACAATGAATATTCATGAGTCTGGAGAAATCTCCTCCTTTAGGACTCTTAGGCATGATATAGGACAGTGACCCCTCAACATCCCAGGATTATCAAGTGGCTATAATTAAAATATACTGCAGGGTTCCCAAGTTGTGGACTCAAGCGCAGATTTGGGTCTCACAGCAATAACACATTAATAATAATGCCAGACACTGGAGATGGTCCATAGTTTATAAGGTGCTTTGGTATTTATCATTTTATCTGCACAGTAGCAGCCCAGCAGGATTGAGATACAAATAATTGAGTTTAGGTTCTAGAGTCTCACTTTTTTGTAGGGAATATTTTATCACTTCTTTGGACTTCTGTTTTCTGTCTGTTAAAAAGGCATATTAATAACAATCCTATCTCCAACAGCTGTTATAAGGATTAAATGAGATCATGAATGTGAAACATGGTAGAAATTATAAAAAGCAAAACATTTACTATTGTTGTCATTGTTTTTATCTGGTTTAAGAAATCGAATGGGCCGGGCATGGTGGCTCACGCCTGTAATCCCAGCACTTTGGGAGGCCAAGGCGGGCGGATCACGAGGTCAGGAGATCGAGACCATCCTGGCTAACATGGTGAAACCCCATCTCTACTAAAAATACAAAAATTAGCCAGGCTTGGTGGTGGGTGCCTGTAATCCCAGCTACTCGGGAGGCTGAGGCAAGAGAATGGCGTGAATCCAGAAGGCGGAGGTTGCAGTGAGCTGAAATTGCACCACTGCACTCCAGCCTGGGCGACAGAGTGAGACTCCGTCTCTTAAAAAAAAAGAAAAGAAATCTAATGGGGTGGTGAAAAAAAGGTACTAATAAGTTTGGAAAACTGAATAGTGATCTCAGTGATGCAATAACTCTTTAGGTGCCTTTGAACAAGTTACTTAACAACTTAGAACCTCAGACCTCAGTTTTTTCATCTGTAAAATGGAAAAAGTCAAGTGTTTCAATATTTTTTCTTTCTTTTCTGGGTAGATGGGGCAAGAAAGTGGACAGATGTTTCCCAAAAGCTCAATATGTGGAGAGTCTGGCTCCCAGGATGCTCTGGGCCAGCTTCGATCTAAGTGAGGAGTGGACCCATGTTCCTGTCAAGGCACACCCTTATATCATTGCTCACAAGCCTTGGTATAGGCTGACTTAGCATCCAGTCCAGGCACACTGTAGTCAGTCAGTTGGTCAGTCAACCAACACTGAGCAGCTGCAATGCATCAGGTCCTATGCTAAGCTCTCAGGAGGACACCCAAAAAGAAATAAGTAAGATCCAAACCATTGAGAAGCTCTTGATTTAGAGAGGAGATAAAGCAGATATATTTGAAACCACAATTAACTGTACATGATAGCACTCAGTCTTTGGGTAGGATTAAAGCTGATTTCTAAATATAAGTGTTGGTAAGTATGTGAGACAGGCAGTGTTAATCAGATCCTACATTCCTTTTTCTCTTCTTGTATCTATGAATCTGACCTGCCAGGTTTCAGCTGGACATGTGGCCACTCAACAGAGTACCATGTGCACCTTTCAAGTCTCAATCTTTTTAAAAAGCTACTTGCCTTCTACTTCCTCTTTTCATCTTTCCTGTGGGCTGCAAAGTGAATGTGGTAGTGATGAGACAATCTGGCCATTCAGAAGTCAACACTACCCTAGGGAATAGCTGAGCAACGAGATGGAAGGAACAAAGGCCCTGGATGGCACAGAACAGAGCAACCTACCTGTCTTGGACTGCCTGCCTGCTCACTCTGGTTAGGAGACAATGAAATGTCTGTCTTGCTGAGTCATTGTGTTTTGGGTTTAGCCATTACACTAACATGATTTGTTATGTGTTATATTAAGCTATATACACCTTGTAGTTATGGCCTATTAATTAATTAATTCATTCATTATTTACTGTCAACATTTACAAACACCATGCATGGCACTTTAGCATGCATTATCACAATTAACTTCATAACAGTGCTAAGCCAAAAATTACTACCATCCTTATTATACAGAAAAGGAGACAATAATTCAGAAGTATACAGTAACTTGCTGGAGGTCACACAGCTAATAAAAGGCTCATTAGGGACCAACATGAAAACCTGCTGCCTGCCTACAAAGAGTTATGCTCTTTCTGCCTGCAAAGCACTAAGTAAGAGCTGGAGATATTGAATTATAACATATTGTCTTCATCTTGAGAATTAATACTTGATTAAGAATCAAGAAACAATGAACATATAATGCAAGAGTAAACCCAATTGCACACTCAATTACGTGGTTTAAAAAAAGTCAACACAAGCTGTTATTAATTGAGCAGTCACAGCTGAACCACTTTGTAGTAAGCTCATGTGTGTTACATGGCAAAGGGTTCCTGAGGCCTAAATGGATGTGGCCCCTGTCCTATTGGAAGAGCCTGTTCAGAGAGGCATAGACTCCACCCCTGCCTCCCATTGGCCTTGCCCTCTAAATAAGACAGCATGATAAATTGGCCCGCATCATTCCACATGCCTGTGTTTCTTATGTATATATGAGTACAGCCTATAGGAATAATAGTCATTTACCATCAGGAATATTCACCAGTGGAAAAGCACATAATTTACAGGCAGTGACTGTAAGAACCCTCTCCCTCATCCAGAATGGCCATAAATTGCAGAATGAGATACACAGATAACAATTCTTTAGACATGAGAAAGCCAAGAGCAGTTTTATGTTACGTAATTACCTAAATCACCCTCTACCATACTCATACCCGAGATTTATGGTAACAAGAAAGCCATGCGGAGACCTGGGGCATTCTCTCCTGATTTATGAGGAGATGCACAGCATGGGAGAAAGGGCCAGTGAGAGTTCTGCTGCGGAAAGAATAAGGCCTTAAGGACTCAGCCTACTCCTGCCTGAGAAGAGGGAAGAGAGAAACTGGAGTCACATTGGACCCCATTGCCCACAACTCTATGTTAAGACTTAGGAAGTAGTTCTCTCTAAAACACAAATTAACTGTGCTAGACAAATGCTGTCCACCCTCACATGGTTTCTATTCACTCAGTTTAAAGCTCATATTGAGGCCAAGGCACTCAGAGTTCTTCATAATCTCTTCCCACTGGCTCCACCAGTCTCACATCCCACAGCCATCCCACATACTCAACACGCTGGCTTCATCTTTCTTCAAACCAAGACTGTCTTTCACCTGTCCTGTTTGGTGGCCTGGTACCCTGTTCCTTGAGGCTGGAATCACCTGTTCCACCCTCCTCATTCCCCATCCTTTCTGTTTTCTATGCATCCTTCAGAGTTCAGCCCAACATTAGCTCCTCAAGCAAGTCTTCTGGAATTGGCTTGCTCTTCAGCACTTACTTAGTCCACCCCCACGTTACTGCACTATCCACAGGCCTGCAGAGCTTTCTTCACATGTATATGTCCCACAAGATACTATAGACAACTCAAGGGCAGAGATTTCTGTGCTCAATTAATAACTGATGAATTAATAAATCCATAACTTGCTCTTTGGGATTTCTTAAGTAAAGATATTTGAAAGCTACTACTTGTCATTGGCTCCAGTCTTTAGAATGCAGGGGACCTCCAAAAAAAAGTTCCATGGTTCCCAGCCTTGGTCAGAGTTAAGGCAATTAAGTTGATTTGTAAGTGTCTAATAGTATCTCTTCATGTTAGCGTAAACAGCTCTTCCACATACACACATATATAACCTCGGCAAGCTGCTCCAAAAAGCGCTATCTCATCTATTTCTCTGTACCTGGTCCACTCCTTGGCTTGTTAGAACACCTCATTCATGTGATCATGCCACCTCACACTGTTAGAACACCTCATTCATGTGATCATGCCACCTCACACAGGAAGCAGAGCAAGCAGAGATACATATAAGCACACACCTTCTTTTTCTCTACCATGGTCACCATCACCTTGACAGTATCCTAGTGAGATAGTGAAACCTGAAAGTTGAAAAGGTCTTATAGGTACTTGCTCCAATATAGAATGTCCTGTAAGTGATCTTTTAGAATCTTCTTGAATGTGTTGGTCCCTCCCAATCACCTTTCTGACAACTCTGGAAAGTTAGTTATACAAAACCGGCGATTTCTGCCTGCAACATCTATTCTCTAGCCTAAATGCTTCCATGCAAGGCCACAGAAAGATGATTACAGGGCCACATTCCAATCATGCTCTCACTGAATACTGTCTGTTTATCATCATCACCATCGTCATCATCATCATCATCACCATCATCATTAGAGTCAAGGTCTCACTCTGTTGCCCAAGCTGGAGTGTAGTGGTTTGTTCATAGCTCACTGCAGCCTCGAATTCCTGGGCTCAAGCCATCCTCCCACCTCAGCCTCTCAAGTAGCTGAGACTACAGGCATATACCACCACACTTGCTAATTGTTATTATTATTATTATTATTATTATTATTTTGGCAGAGATGGGGTCTCACTATGTCACCTAGGTGGGTCTCAAATTCATGGCTTCAAGCAATCCTCCCATCTTGGCTTCCCAAAGTGCTGAAATTATAGGCATGTGCCACCACACTTGGCCTGTTTTATTATTAATAGCAGTTCTACTGAATGAGAGGTTGATAATCTTTCACTCTCAGGAATTCTCCTCTAAAAGCTCTCACTCACTGATACTTATCTTGGAGAAACTAATAAAATCTTTCCTGAAGAAGGCATATACATACCTGCATATATACAAACTTCTGTGTTCCATTTTAAGGGGGTTTTGGAATTTCCAAAGCCTACCTGTCAATCCCAGAATAGAAACTTATTCTGAACCATGATTTCCTTAAAGTTAGGGACCTTAATTTAGTCATCATGACTTTACTTGAAGGCCCAGCACATGGTTGACACTCAATAACTAACGAAAAGACAAATGTTAAATCAGTAAAACCTGGTTGGTGAGTACCACATGCTGCCATGTACTGGATTACATTCTATCATGTATATCTAATCCACACAACAGGTCTGTAAACCACAGGCTGCTACTCCATTTCACAGGTGAAGAAACTGAGTCCCAGAGACAGCAAAGCCAGCAAGTGACAGATACAGAACTGGGACACAGATCACTAGGGTTTTACCAAACCATGCTGCTTCCCAAACCAGCCTCCACTGTTTTCCACCTCCCAGCATGGAGATTCCTTGAGGCATTCAGTATTCAAAGAAGTCACAGATGCCTTTATCAGAACAGAACTGTGTTTCCCCTTGAGTCTGCAGGGCAAGATGCACTCAGAGTGGGGCAGACAACTAACTATACGTGGAGCCCTCTCTCTCCTTAGCAAAGAGCTAAAGTATTAACATGTTGAATCTAATAGCAAGTCATGGTGCCCAAACCCCTGACTGCTTGTTATTCCACAAATTCTCATGGCCACAAATTGCACAAAAATATAAATTGTGCTGCCATTTATATTTTATTTGCCTCCAAATCCACTTTCTCCACCTTCTCTAATAGGATCTGTGTGTTAGGGAGTTGACATAGGGTTGCATCAACAGGCTCTTTGCTTTGGGCATTCTGTTGGATTCAAATAATGGAAGCCACCAGCAAGAGATAGAGGAGTAGAAAGAGGGGATGCGGTCTGATATATATATTCCCTGGTCTCTACAAAGGTTCACTGCAGTTCCTGCAAGGCAGCCCTCTCCACAAAGCCACCTGTCTCAGGATTCTGGTAACGGCCCCTCTTCTTACCCTTTCAGACCTAGGAGGTCTAGCTCAGGAGTCCTGTATTATCTCTTTTTGGTTATTCTAAGTCATGCTCATGCCTTTATAAAAATCCCTTTAATACACTTTCCTCAAGTTTCTCAGTTGGAATGTGCCATATGCTTCCTGCAGGGACCCCATATGATACACATGCCTAGCCGTGTTCAGCATTTACATGCAGAGAAAACAAAACAAGAAGTTCTAAAATATTAGAGCTGGAAAAGATCTTAGAGTCCATTTTTCAAGCCCTTTATTCTATTAATAGTCATAGTCTTAGTATCATGGCAATGCTGATTACTGAGCACCTTCCATGTGTCAAGTGCTATGGGTCTTGATTTACATAGGTGATCTCAATTCCTCCTAGTTTTCCAAAGTAGACACCATTACCCCTGTCAAAATATGAGGAAACGAGGGCATAAAAAGTAACTTGCCCAGGACCTCACAGGTAGAGCAGGGACTGGAGTCAAAATTTGAGCCCAGTGTCATCTGACTCCAAAGCATGTGATCTTCATACTAGAATTCTCAGAGATGACAGCCCTGAGACCCAAAGACAGTCCAGTGCCCAAAATCCCCAAGGTAAATTGCCACAGAACCAAGACCAGAAATGAGTTCTCCTGACCACCACCCAGCAACCTCTGCACTTCAGTCCGTGTACTTCAGGGTGTCTCAACCTTAGCGCTATTGACATTTTTAACCAGAGCACACCTTGTTGCACGGGCTGTGAGTTATACAACACTTAGCAGCATCCCTAGGTCTACCCACTAAATACCCAACAGCACTTCCCTCAGAAGTCATGACAACCAAAAGTATTCTAGACCTTGCCAAACGTCCCGTGGAAAGAAAACTCTCTCCCACATGACAAACACTGGTATAGTCCAGTTTCCTAAGTATTTATCTGACTCACGTTCGATGCACCAGGTATAACAGGAAATGCAAAGATCATGAACTAAGGCCCTCAGTGTGCCTCAGAAGAGGGAGAAATTGACGCCTATGGAGAATGGTGGAAGGAATTTGCAAAGTGGAATTTCTGGAGTGGGCAGCTTATTATTTACCTTTAAAGAATGTGTAAGGCTGACATACAGAAGGCCTGAAAGAAAGTTCAGATCGTCAGTATGTCCTGAACAGGGGCAGAGATCACAATCCCAAACTAAAATAAACCGTGGTCTCCTTCTGAAATGTTCAAATTCTCTTGCAGAGCATGCAAGGCCTTCTGTAGCCTCCTCTCCAGCTTCTGTGCATTACACTTTGGGCTCAAGAAACAGTATGGTACTTCTTACCTCCATGCCTGTGCTTATGCTAGCCCCTTGACCTGGGGTCCCTCTCTGCTCTACAACTTCTGCCTCTCACCTGCTTCACTAACCTTCCTTGGAGACTGAGCTCAGGTATATCTCTGGAAACTACATAACTACCTGCATAACTACTTCTTCAGTAGTAGACTGAATTTAGCTTGTGAAAACAATAATGTGTTTGTTAAGTAAAAAGAAGACACATCGTGTAACTGAACACACAATCACCAATGCAATAAAAGGCCCAAAGAAAGGACTGGAAAAAATAAGTCTAAATGTTAACATTGGTTTTCTCAGCTTAGCAAGGTTGCTGATGACTTTTATTTTTGTCTTTATGATTTTCCAAACTTTAAAAAATGTCTATAGTATCTGTGTGTTGCTTGTGTAATCATAAAAATGCAAGAATTGGAAATGGCTCTTGTGGGCATTTGCTGTTTTTACCGTTGACATCTATTTATTTGTGTAGCATCAATATCCTGATTTGGCTCTGAAGTAGCCAGCCCTCCCCCTCACTCTCAACCAATGCGTTTTGAGTCTAGTCGATTCTAGCCCAGGCCACAGGAGTCCAGCATAAGACCTAGACTATGTCAGTTAATGTACATCTTGGCCAAAGGCATTGATTCAGGTCCCCAGGCCCAGGCCAATCAGGGCTGATGAGATTCAGTTCTGAATCTTCCTCTTGAGCTACTGGGGAAGGATATGTTCTCTCTTGTACTTGACTGGGTATTAGAACAATGTAAATCTGAAGTTACCGGGGAAGCCACCACTATTCAGATTGAAGAATCTGAACCTAGAGGAAGCCAAGCCAAGAAATAGAGCCTTGGGTCTTTGTTTAGATCTTGAATCAAGCCAGGCCTAAAGCCTCATTTACCTCTTTGGATACTATTTTTCCTTCATTATCTGTTTGAATGTAATTTATGTAATATTTAATGCCTACAAAGGATAAATATTAATAATAACAATGTTATGAACATCCATGCACTCACCAGCAATCTACCATTGTACCAACTACATGCTCCTCCTTTAACCTGTGTCCTTGCCTTCTTCTCCAGCAGCAATCACCATTCTTAGTGTTACGTTAAGCCAGCGGTCCCCAACCTTTTTGGCACCAGGGACAGATTTTATGCAAGACAATATTTCCATGGGGGGGGCTGGGGGGATGGTTTGGGGATGAAATTGTTCCACCTCAGATCATCAGGCATTAGTTTGATTCTCACAAGGAGTGCACAGCCTAGATCCCTTGCATGTGCAGTTCACAATAGGGTTTGTGCTCCTATAAGAATCTAATACCCTGCTCATCTGACAGGAGGTGGAGTTCAGGCAGCGAGGCTTGCTCATCAGGCTCTCACCTCCTGCTGGGCAGCCCAGTTTATAACAGGCCATAGACCAGTACTGGTCCGTGGCCTGGGGATTGGAGATGCCTGTGTTAAGCAATTCTTTATCTATCTATCTATCTATCTATCTATCTATCTATCTATCTATCTATCTATATCTGTCTGTCTGTCTGTCTGTCTATCTATCATCTATCTACACACACACACACACAATATATATATATAATGCACATATTTCTAAAGAATACATTACTTAGATTTTCTTGTTTTTATACTTTATGAAAATGGAATCCTACTGTATGTGGTCTTCTGAGATTTTCTCTTCTCACCCAACATTATTTTTCCAAGATTCACCTACATTTTTGCAGGTAGCCATAATTCATTTATTTTCAACAGTCTAATAATTTTCATCTCTCTTTATAAAAACTTTAATAGGAGCTGCAAAAGTTCCAGTATCCTCCAAGAGGAAAGAAAAAATAAACTAGTGTTTGAGAACTGCTTGCTAACTTTCAGGCACTGGGGTTGTCCCTTTTAAAGTGAACTGTCCCTTAAATCCTCAGAAAAGTCCTAGGAATTGTGTATAGATATCTCCATTTCACAGATGAGGTTACAGACTATCATGTTGTCCCAAGGTTGTTGAGCTAGTTGGGTACTCAGATAAAATGTCACTCTGCTCTGTTAAACCTCTTCCTTGCAAGACGGCTTATTGCATGCCCTTCAAGGATAATCTTAGCCTAATATTTCAATAAGGAAAGCAAATTAAAGCATCCCCATTCAGTGCTTAAGAGAGAAGGCTCTGGGACCAGACTGGCCTCAGATGCTGGTTCTGCAAATTTTTAGCTGGGTTTAATACCTAAGTTTCTTCAGCTGTAAAATATTGATAATAATAATATCTACCTCCTTGAAGGGTTAAGAGGATGAAGTAAGTTACCATATCAAAGAACATAAAACAGTACCTGGCACATAGCAAATCCTTAATAAATGTTAGCAATTTTTCTATATTCACCCACTAGCTTCCCTTCCCAGACCATCACACACCTTATATTTCATCATTTCTCATCTTTGATCACTAGCACTGCTTTCTAACAGGCGTTCCTCATTTCTCCATGTCCTCCTAACATTGTCCACAGGGGATACTTCTAAAACATAAATGGGATCACTTCATTCTCCTGTTTAAAATCCTTTATTCCTCTCTATCACCCATCAAATAGAGTCTTGAAATTGACATGATAAATTCATACTGCAAAGTTCTGGATCTGCTTATGGTTCCCAAAACATATACTGTGTTTCATGCCTCCTTGTCTTTGCATATTCTATTCCCTCTGCCTGGAATACCCTCTCTGTCATCTGATTATCTCCTATGTTTCAAAACCCAGCTCAGACATTATGTCTCCTCTTCAATTCAGAATCAAATCCTCTCTTTTAAATCAATAGCACCTTAAGTACACTTCACCTGTTAGAAAAACCTGATGGCACTACTGTTATTTGTTTCTCCTGTTTTGTTCTGCCCTGTGGACTGATATCCCTGAGGACAAGTCCTTTGTTTTCTTCACTTACAGTCTTCAATATCTAGTTTGGAAACAGGCACCTTGTGGTACTCAAGAATATTTGCTATACTGAATGCAGAATAAGTTCTCAGCTATGCCAGGCTAAGGAACTAACAAATTGGGAGGCTTGGAAGTACGCTACTCTGATCAGGAGAGTGAATGCAGTTCCCCTGCAGACTAGTGAGCTGCCATGTTAACACATAATTTATTAGACCCTGGCACAAGTTTATTTTTATAGGCAGAGCATCTATTTTAATGGTTACATATATAACCACAGTTTTCAATCTGCTCCTTTCCCCCAAGAGAAAATCATGGAAGAGATCAAGGAAGGAAAGGAAGGATAGACATTGGGGGGTGAGGGGGGTAGTCTTTTGTATGACTTTCTTAAAACAGATCCGGGAAGAGGAGCCTGATTCATATATATATATATACTTCCCTGGAAACTTAAATTAGCCCAATGGATAATATGGCTAGATATTCTTTTTCCTTGCCTGTCTTATTCAAATTGCCAGTTTGACCAATGTAGAAACACTGACTTATCCAGTTGTTTCAGTTCTGTGAAGCTTCCCTATTGCAAAGCTCTTTACAGAAAAGTTTCAATGTGTTGAAATAAGCGATAAACCTTGGAGCCAGTTTCATGTTTAAATTCAGAATATGGCACTTCCTAGCAGCAGAGCTTTGGGAAAGTGACGTCACAGAGTATTAGTTTCCTCCTCTGGCAAATGGACAACAGTACCTAATTTCTAGAGCAATTACAATGATAGATTGAGGTAACGCTCATAACTGTTAGTACAGCACCTGGTGCTTAGTAGATGCCCAGTGAATGTAAGCTCATGGTATCATTCCCTCCCTTTGCTGGACCGTGGACAATGGCAAAGGTGGTGGGGAGCATTTGAACCAACTCCCCATATATTCCTTGGGTATATACTACAGGTGTAACATTAAACCCAGTCCTCTTAGAATACGGAGACCCATCTTAAGGATGATTCTTTAGGAAAACTTAAAAGAGTGAGCAGATTTAAACTGGTATTTGAAAGATGATGAGCTTTGGTTTCAGAGGGCAAAAGGAAGTCATTCCGCTTATACAGTGCATCCTGGGTGGACTCACTGGTTCTCAATATCCATTCATTCTTTCTTCCTTTTACTAATGCACCTCCTACTACATCCCTGTCCCTCAGTTTAGCTCAGATGTGGCTACCTGCTACTTCTATGACCTTTTTTTTTTCTTTGCCTCCAGGAACGACCACATGAATAAGTTCTGAACAATAGGATGTGACAAGAAGCACTGTTGTGGATCACTTCTCAAAATGAATTTACTTGTTCTGTGTGTCTTCTTCCCCTCTCTTGAGGATTGGCATGGGAGTATGATGGGGAAGAGTCATCTTTGCTCATAAAGACAATGGGGGATGATGAAGCAATAGAAAGAAGAAACTGGGTTCCTGGTGACTTTGTTGAGCACAGCCACCCTTCCCATCCAGACAGCCCAACAGCTCCACTCCTCCTTCCAGTTAAGCCACTGCTGTTTGATCTCCATTATTACAACTAAACCAGTATCTTCACTAATCATATCCTGAGGATGTAGGTGCAGGTGAAAATGAGCCTAACACATGTGGGGACAGAAAAGGAATGGGTCTGAGTGGAAAAAAGGGAGGGTATTTGAGAGTAATAGGTAAAGGCAAACAGAGCACAGACTTACTTCTAGATTCTTGATGGGAGGAAGGCTAGGGATTCTGAGAAGAGAGCAAAGCAAATAAAGCCTTCCTACCCACATGCCACCAAAAAAGCATGGAATAAAATGAAAGATAATCCATGGAAAAAAGCCAAGAAGACACATTCCTCTCATTCCAATTCAACTCAGCATCAGCTCAACTCATAGGAGGAGGGCTCTAAGAACAAGGTCCAACACCATCCTCACTAAGGGGTGGTTCTGTTTCTGTTAATTGACCAGCTGCACAGATGGGAAGTGAGGATGAACTGAGGCATCCCAGTCCATTCTGAATAGCCCTTTGCAAGCTCTGACTTGCACCGATCATAATCACTTTTCCCTATTGTTCTATTTCCACCTTCTAAGGCCACAAAGAGCAAGTAGAATCCTTGCATAACTCTTGCTTCAAATGACAGTCACTCCCATGTGTGATGGTGGCTCCCATGGAGTCTCATCTTATAGAGGCAAACAACTCTTTCATTAAGTCCTCATATTTATACATTTCTATTTTTGTCTTTGCAGACAGAATTCCCACCAAGGCTGTGCAGCCATGGGCAAACAAGTTTCCTTGCCATCCCAGCTTCTTTATCTGAAAAATGAAGAAGCTTGACTTTTCTATTTACAAGTCCTCGTGTCAAATACTTCTGGGAGGCAAGAATGTATACGGGGTG
This sequence comes from Homo sapiens, assembly GCF_000001405.40. NCBI lineage: Eukaryota > Metazoa > Chordata > Mammalia > Primates > Hominidae > Homo > Homo sapiens. Next base: position 57,953,278 of record NC_000001.11, read on the forward strand.
TTGGACAATAGGGAATGATGATAATCGTGGTGAACTGGAAACTACATACTTGACCTAAGGACATTAATGTTAAATTTTGAGTTTTGTTTATTGCCTGCTAGTGTTTGCTTTTTGGTATTAAAGCTACATTAGCCATGTAAGCCACACCTGAATGCTAGATATAGGCAAGTTTATAAATTCTGGTCTGAATGATCTTAAGGACTTCTCTAGCCCTAAAATTCCATTATTCTTTTAAGGTGTCCCATTTTACAGAGTGGACTCCAACTAGGCCTATCTTTTGTGCCAAAGGGAGCAGATACACCCTTGTGCTGGACATCCTCCGTTTGCCCTTCCAGATTGCTTTTCCATTCTTCTCCACCTTGCTCTGTGCCCTGGAATCTAATTGTTAAGGACGCCATCAAGCTGAGCTCATTGAATTCTGAGTTCTAGTTGGAACTGGCCAATGAGAGTGCTAGCATGAAACAGGCAGGTGAGAGGAGAGAAAGGTTAGCCCCTCCCTATTTATCTGCTGGTTGGCAGTGGCTGGGTTCCTGTAATAAGGCCACATCCGCTGTCTGCTGGCCTTACCCTATGGCTACATGTCTCAATGGTTCAGATAACCATCCCTTCCTTTCCCTTTCAGGCCAAGGGACATAACTGGCTGCCCACTGGTAGGAACATTGGATATTTCACCACCAACTCCCTTTTTGGTTTTTATTAACCCTTCCCATACCTCCACAAATAGTCCTTTCTCTAAAGCCCCCTTAGAACCCCCTTCTGAGTGTACCATCTGTTCCTTGCCAGGACCCTGACTAATTCACTATCAATCCTCTTCTCTATGTGCTTCCAGTGGGGATGAGGGGTGTCCATCCTAAAAGTTCGGATGTATTGGCCATAAAAACAGGTTATAGGATGTAGTGTTTATTACATCCCTTTAGTGGCCATCTATTTTTCGGTCTTTTCAGCACTTTCCCTTCCAGAAATAGTTAAGAAACACTCTCTTCCATGATCCAAAGCATACAGAAGCACCAATCATAGGTGCCATGGTCTGGCATAGAATGGGCATGTGACCCAAGCCAAGTCATTAAATGAGCATGCGATATAAGCCAGGACAAGTTCACTCAGGAATTTTTAAAATGGAACTAAGAGAAGGTGGCCCACTCCTTTTGGGTGATGATGCCTAGGAAGTGGTAGGTCCAGGAGTTACAATGATCATGCTTCAGCCTCAAGAAGAAAGCGAGGCTACGATGGTAACCCAGTGAAACAGAACCATAGGAAAAAGTAGAGACTACACATAGAGCAAGGTTGATTTGAGTCTGAATACCCAGTACCTGTCCTCCTGTAAGCCCAGCCATCCAGCAACTTACCTGCAGCATGCCTTTGGTTGACTTTTGCTTAAATTCCTTTGAATATAGTTTTTCTATTGACTAATACATCCCTAGTGGAGATGGAGTTCAGGATTAGTCTGACTCCAACTGACCAGGTATGCAGTCTGTTAGAGAAGAGTTTAGCTCTGTATGATAAAATAGCTGCTGGATCCTCACTTTTGTGTAGTGCTCTGTGGTTTATAGAGTGCCTTCACACCCATTACCTCATTTTATCCTTATAACAGTTCTAGGTGACAAATGGGGCAAGGTGTGTTATCCCCTATTAGCTGCCATGAGTCCTAGGGCTCAGAGAGGCAAAAGACTTAAAGATAAAGCCACTTTCAGCTTTGGTCTTAAACTTGGTGAGACCATGCCAAGCCTTCTCCTAAAGAGGCATAGCGGCCCTGTTTGTACAATGTGTTCCTGAATGGATCTTGGCTTATATCCACACCTCTTTTTGCCACTGTCTTCTCTGTGTCTGAAAATATTCTTCATTCTCTCTACTTTGAAATATACAGTCTGTTCTATTTTTACCTCCATCTTGAACTCTGGCACTCAATGTTTTTGCTTTTAGCCTCTCTGATGTGCCATGAACCTTGAGGCTCATGGCAGGTCTCCTCCCTCCTGATTAAACCTCTCTTTCTTCACCTCAACCATCTCATAAACTTCCTGTGAAAAGTCTTAGTGGCATTGCTTAATATGACCTTGACTCCAGCCCCAGAAGGACACGTAGCTGAGGGAAATCTAGCATCCCAGTTAATCTGACTTAGTCCCTTGTCCTTTCTACTGTCAGTCAAGCCCACATGCAAGAGCAGAGAAAGACCCTTATATTCAGAAAACAGTACATTTAGATTTTCCCTAATAGTAGTGTCTTGAGTGTCTTGTCGATGACTCTGAGGATGGAATGTCATTTTCTGTTTCACTTTCAGTCACGATGCACAAGCTTACAAAGAAAAGTGTAGAAGTTGGAATAATACGATATGCTTTTTACAAATAAGACAAAAGACTGAAATAGAGGATACAGCCCAAATTAGCACAAGAGGATACAGCCCAAATTAGCACAAGAGCAACTCCCACTGATGAGAAAATTATCTGACTGCAAATTACACACTGCTACTCCATGAGCTCCATTGAGGTTTAAGGTATTGGATTAACCAAAATGAAGCAGAAGAAAAAAAAAATGAGCTAGAAAAACAAATGCACCAAGGTGAAAAGGAAAAACACAAATTAATATTTGCTAATTATATGGTATATACTGGTCTATATCAGTCATATTATTCCCATTTTAAAATGCACAAGGTTTGGTGGGTAGTAAAATGCCAAGAAGATAAGGCAGTTGGTCATTGTCTAATCTAGGATTACAGGATGGGTCAGTTTGGCTTCAGAAACTCACCTTCCTAGTGAGAGATAGACTTTCTCTTGCTCAGTTGAGCAGTATTGATCAGGAAAAGAATCTGTTGTGTCAGAGGAAGGCAATATGTCAGATCTGATTACCACAGATAAAATGTACTAAGTCAGGGGAACATTTATAGATCATCAGATATATCTGTCAGGGTCCCAGCAAGAAACTGGCAGCACACTCAAGAGAGAAGAGCTCAAGGAGAGACTAATTATAAAGGTGTAAGCAAGGGAAGGGAATCCTAGGGGATGAAGCAGTAACCCAGAGCTGATAATAGTGGAGGTTACCACCCCAGGCTAGAGGGTAAGAGGTAGGAGAGAACTCTATATGAGAGGGATTCCTGTAGAGCAGCCCCCTTGAAGGGGATTAGTGACATCTGAGACAGCCAAACCAAGGTGAGCCCACTGGGAGGAATTCAGGGAAAAAAATAGCCTGATCTCACTCTTATTTCTTACTTTATCCAGAGGCTTTAAAGGTACAGAAGGCCACTTATGTATTTCATACAGGTCAGCCTCCTGGGGCAGGCACAGAAGGGTGGAGGGAAGACCTCATTAAATAAAGACATCCAGCACACCAAAACAGGCAGAAAGCAGACATGATAACGAGATTGCCACCTATTTACCTTCTTGTAACCATAAGAATGAGGGAAGCTTCATTCCGACGGAGTTCGACCAAAATAGAGAAGAAGTTGTAAGGGTACGTGTAACCACTCTAGATTGGATACTCCTGCAGCTAATGATATGATAATGAGAAAAATCATATGCAACTGAAGTGGATATTTCAATAAAGAGTTGAGCAACATGTGGTCTAGTTAGGACCATCTTGGAAAGACTTTGGGAGGTATTGGTGGAGTAGATGTGGAGAAGAGTTAGCTTATTCAGAGAATTATACTGAAATTACTCCCTCAGAAAAACCTTGGATCTACCAGAGCTTGTTTCTTTGCAAACTTGCTCATAGGCCATGTAAATAAAACTGAATGTCATCTGGTGAATGATGAAATGAAGGAAATAGAATCAGAGAGGTGGTGAGATATTAAATCACATAGGTCTGTTGGAAAATTTTGAAAGGAGGAGCATGTGATTTGACTTACATTTTAATAGGCTTGTTCAGGAAAATGTGTGAAGAGATTGTACAGGGACATGACTGGATGTCGAGGACCAGGTAAGAAGCTAATGCAATAATTTAGGCAAAAAGGATGATGGTAACAGTGGAGGTGGTGAGAAGTGGCCACATCCTCAGTATTTTTGTAAGTAATACTATGGAATCAGCTGAATAAGTGGATATCAGGTGTGAGAAAAGGAGTGAAAAGAAGCCCAAAGGTTTCAGCCTAAGCAATGGAAGGATAAAGTTGACATTTGTTAAGGCAGGGAAGACTGTAAGTGAAGCTGTATTTTATCTGGGGTGAAGGGAGAAATCAGGAGTTTGGTTTTGAACATATTGGCTTTGAGATATATATTAGACATTCAAATGGAAATATTAAAAAGGTTATTGGATATATACAGGTCTAGAATTCAGTGTAGAAGTGTATGCAGGAGACACCAATCTGGATATTAGCACATAAACAGTATTTAAAACTACAAGACTGTATGGGGTTACCAAAAAAGTGAGAAAAGCAGAATCCTGGACCACACCGCAGTTCAGAGTTTGGAAAAATGAGGAAGAGCCAGTAAAGGAAAACTGAGGATTGGTCAACGAGGTAGAAAGAAAAACCTCTGATGGAATTGCAACATGGGCAGAAACCAGAGGTAGGAAGGCAGGTGAGTCACTGGTTTCCAAGTACAAATAAGAATTAGCACCTTGGAGTTTCATACCTGACAATACATGAAACAAGACTTCAAAAGAATTTTTGTGAAAACTTGTTTATAATTATAAGTCTTTGATTGTGGGAAGAAGTTGAATACAAAGTATGAAACTCTTTGTTCTGACAGTGACTGTAAGTTGTTGAAATTCTTGTTCCAGGATGATGTGCTTTTTTTTTTTTAGGCGGAGTCTAACTTTGTTGCCCAGGCTGGAGTGCAGTAGCATGATCTCAGCTCACTTCAACCTCTGCCTCCCAGGCTCAAGTGATTCTCCTGCCTCAGCCTCCCAAGTAGCTGAGATTACAGGTGTCTGCCACCACGCTCTGCTAAATTTTTAGTAGAGACGGGGTTTCACCATGTTGGTCAGGCTGGTCTCGAACTCCTGACCTCAAGTGATCCACCTGCCTCGGCCTCCCAAAGTGCTGGGATTACAGGAATGAGCCACCGTACCCAGCCTGATGTGCTTTTTAAAAATCATTTTAATCTAGCTGTGATACACTGGGTAAGTTGGTAGAAAGATCTGCATTCATTCATTCATTTATTCAACAAGTATTGCTTTATGATATGCCAGACACTGATATAAATGCCAGGCACCACAGTGAATACAACCAAGAGAAATACCTGCCTCCAAGGAGCTTTCTTTTAGCAATCAATGTGCAGGAGTGGACAGAAAATGGGGTGCAAATCTCAGCCATCTCACCTACCTCTTGAGTAAGTCACCTAATCTCTTCCTCTTCCAGAGCCTCATCCAGAAAAGAGGATTCAGAATAGGCATTAGGTTGTGAAAGCTGCCATAAACAAAGTGCCACTAACTGGGTGGCTTAAACAACAGAAATGTATTGTTTCACAGTTCTGGGGGTAGAAGTCCACAATCAAGGTTTCAGCAGGGTGGATTCTTCTAAGGGCTATGAGAAAAGGATGTGATCCAGGCCTCCCTCCTTGGCTTGTAGATTTTTGTCCTCTTTCTATGTCTTCTCACATCATCTTCCTTCTATGCTTTTCTCTCTGTGTCCACATCCCTTTTTATAAGGATGCCAGTCTTATTAAATTAGAGACGATTCTAATGACTTCATTTTAATTTGCTTACCTCTGTCAAGCTCTGTCTCCAAATAAGATCACATTCTGAGGAAGCAGGGGTTAGGATTCTAATATATCTTCTTTTGGGAGGACACAAAGTCAACCCTAACAGAATGCCTGTTTGTATGCTAACTCTTTGGATGGCTGCAAGGCTCCTGGCAAGTAGCAGGCAGAAAGCCACTGTAGTCAAGTGATCAGCACTCAGAATCTAGACCAAGTGTCCACTCCAGAGCAGTCTTTGATACTGACTCTGCTTATTACTGACCTTGGTTGTATTCCTTAACCTTTCATTGAGCTTCCTCTTCAACTGAAATATGGGACAGGTGAGGTGGGGAATGGCACCTGCCTCATAGGGCCAGTGCAAGGGTCAAATATAGCAAAATATGGATCTTGCATAGTCTAAGTACTCTAACAAATGGTAGCTGTGTATGTATTTTTAAATTCTTGAAGAATGAATGTATGTGTAAAAAGAGATAAGGGAAGTAGAGGGCTTCACATAAAAAAGTATTCTACAAAAAGCAATAATCTCATTTATAAATTGTTTTAAGGTTTACAGGGCATTTTCACATCCTCGCAGTAACCCACTTTGATGGATACTATATTCCCATTTTATAGATGAGAACATTGAGGCTTGGAGAGGGATGTAAATTGGTAGCCAAAAGATTAGAGTGGTTGTGGTTCTCTTGGATATTCTAAAGGTGGTGCTTTCTTTTTCTTTTACTTTTTTAAATTATCTTGTAGCTCTTCTTAAGCTCACATACTGAGCATGCTGCAATATAAACAATCCTGATGAGAAGCTGTCCAAAGGAATTCACAGCATCTTTGCACTCCTTGCTGAATACTTAAAATCTTCAACACATTCAGGCTGGGATCGGTTTCCTAAATGCCTTTATGCTTTGGAAGCTGAGAGTTTGGCTCCTTGGGGACCTTTCTGCTTCCATTTAAACCCAAAGCAATGGACTTGAAAATCGAAATCCAAAAAGCTAACAAAGACCTTATTAATTGTGGCTTCTTTATAAACAGTTTTTTTCACTCTTCTTTCTCCTCTCTCTAGGCAACCCTTGCATAAAAATATCCACTCACCAACTGTTCACCAACTGTTCTTCCTCTTGCTGGCATACCTTATGCAGCATCCTCAGATGCCAGAGCGCGTTTCTGCTGCAGCCTCCACGATGCCTGGGCTGATAGCAATCAGGTCCTGCTATGGTGAGGAGTGTGGGAGAGGAGGGAGAGATGGTGTTGTCTGGCACGGGAAGCCCAGGCCGTGTGGCAATTAGGGCTCAGACTGGAAAGGCAGTGGCCACGTCATAGGCTTTGGAGTCAGAAAGCCCTAGGTTTGAGTCCCAGCTCAGCCATGTTCTTACTGTGTGTTATCATTCAAATTACTATGTTTCACTGTCTGAGCCCAAAATTTCTCTCCTGTAAAAGACAGATAATAACTGTTTCTAAGGACTGTCATGAAGATTTTTTAAAAATTCCTGTATGTGATGGACATGACATGGTGCTTGGTACATTATACAAACTCAATACAGGAAAATTTCCTTTATCTCTTTTTAACTCCCAAGAAGCTCATTAGTCCAGTAAGGAACCAAATTAAAAAAAAAAAAAAGGAAATCTATGTGAGTGTTAAATATTTAAAAAATAGTTGAATAAGGTAGTATAAATACATACGTTAATACTATTTTTATTCAGTAGTATAAAAGATGAAATAGGACAGTATCTGGTGACTTAGGAAATGGAAATGGCTGTAAGTGCTAGATTTCAGAGAAGGAAGAGATCTTCGGAGGCTGAAGAAGTCCTTTCTGCTCTTTTTAGGGAGTCTAGTTCTAGCCAAGCTCTGCCTCTCAGTATGTGGAGCAATTAATTCCTTCAATTCCTCCACAAACATTTGCAAGTGTTGTCTTTGGCCTAGGCCTAAGCCATGCAGGCATGAGGAGAACAGACCCCAGCCTCAACCCTTAGGAGCTTGCAGAGGAGCCAGAGAACCAGGCATGCAAACAGGTGTAACAGGTAAGAGGGACAGAATCATATGACTGTTTATGGAGCAGGCCTGGAGGAGCTGGACAGATTAGAGACCAAATTCCAGCTCAGCTACTTACTGGCACCATGGCTAGTAGCTTAACTTCTCTGAGTCTTCTTTTTTCATTTGAAAAATTGAGATAATAATAATGAGTTCTTCACCTTGTTGCAAAGATGAAGTGATATAATGCTTGTTAATGCAAAGCAAAGTCCTGGTATTTAGGAGTTCAATAATTGTTAACTGGTATAATTCAAGGTGAAAACCGTGTATACACTTATTTAGAGATTTTGAATTATAATAATATACGCATGTGTATACATTTGTATATAGGTAATATGTATGTGTCTACATATACATATAATAATATGTGTACATTTACAATATAGATTATATATGTATATGTGTATATCGTACTGTGGAAAGCTCTTAACCTCTAAACTTTTCAATTTCCTTCTTCTCAAAATTATCAGTTGGCTCAGAACTCCGCCTGTGATCTTGGACACATCAGGCTTTCCACAGTCTCACTCATCCACCCTCAGCATTATCTCTGACCAAATGAGTCCCCCACCTTCCTGTCATGCTCAACCATAGGAGTCCTGAGTATTCTCAAGAGTCACTTCCTAAAACCTTGCAAATCTCTGGATTTATGAGGGTTGAAATGACAGCAAGCACATCAAAAGTCCATAAAGAATTGTACTGGGACCCAAATTCTTTTTTCTAAAAAGTTAGTAGATGAGCAAGACATGTTCTTCACTTAAAGCTTAGTTCGGCTGGGTGTGGTGGCTCACGCCTGTAATCCCAGCACTGTGGGAGGCTGAGGCAGGCGGATCACCTGAGGTCAGGAGTTCAAGACCAGCCTGACCAACATGGAGAAACCCCATCTCTACTAAAAAATACAAAAAAAAAATTAGCCGGGCATGGTGGTGTCCTGTAATCCCAGCTACTCGGGAGGCTGAGGCAGGAGAATTGCTTGAACCTGGGAGGCGGAGGTTGCAGTGAGTTGAGATCACGCCATTGCACTCCAGCCTGGGCAACAAGAGTGAAACTCTGTCTCAAAAAAAAAAAAAGCTGAGTTCACAGAATGAGGGAGCCAACTGAACTTGGAGTTAAATTAAGAGAGTGGCGATCTAAAGTCTGGTTCAGCAACTTGAGAGTTAAGAGTAGTTTCAGAAGTCAAATGATCCCAATTCAAATCCTGGCTATGCCTCTGCTTGACTAGACTATCTTGAGCAAGTTACTTAACCTCACTAGGTCTCGACTTGCTCATCTTTAAGTGGGATCTTTATAGTGCCTACCTTAAAATTTTGCTGTGAATTCTGACTGTGATAGCACATGGAAGTTAAATATCACCGTATCTGCCTGGTATATAACTTCTCAATAAACATTAGTCATCATTATTATTATTATTACTCTTATTTTTCCATGGGCATAGTGTATTTGTACAGAGACATTTTCACCCACATCAATTTTGTCTAGCCATTTTCTCCAATAAGCTTCATCAACTAGGTACTGACATCCTCCTTCCTATGATCATCTCACCACTTAGAAAAAAACTTCTTACCTTCTGACATGATTTGATTCAACAGCCACACTAGTGCCTAGCTCATCACTGAAATGTTGGTTCAGGCTCCCCAAGAAAATGGAATAATACATTTACGAATCCCAGGAAGAGGCCAGGTGTGGTGGCTTGCACCTATAATCCTGGCACTTTGGGAGGTTGAGGTGGGAGAATCACTTGAGGCAAGGAGTTCAAGACCGGCCTGGATAACATAATCTCTACAATTTTTTTTTTTAATTTAGCCACACATGGTGGCATGTGCCTGTAGTTCCTGTAGTTCCTGCTACTTGGGAGGCTGAGGTGGGAGGATGACTTGAGCCTGAAAGGTTAAGGCTGCAGTGAGCTGCAATTATGTACCACTGCATTCCAGCCTGGCAACAGAGTGAGATCCTGTCTCAAAAAAAAAACAAAACAAAAAAAAATAAAAACCTCAAGAGCCACTTTTAAAATTTTTTACTTATTTTTCCCCCAATTTTATGCTATATTTTCTTACATGCCTTTATAATATAACATGCTTCATTCCCCCTCCTTTTGCCCACCTTTCCTCTTGCCCATTTTACCTGGGTTACTTCTTCCATGTCCTTCAAAATTAAGCTCACATATGACAGTATTCATTCATTCATTCAACCACAAATTAAAATATCAGATACTGTGCTAGGTGCTGGATATATAATGGTAAGCAAAACAAATGAGGTCCCTATTTTCCTGGGCTTAGAGTCTAGAAGCCAAACAGATATTGATGAAATTATCATACACATAACTCACTTTAGACCATGACTAATGCCATGAAGAAAAGGCTCAGGGTGCCATGCAAGCATATTAGCATATTACAGAGTGACCTGGTCACATATGAAGAGTTAGGGAAGGCACCTTGGAAAAAGTGACATTAGGCTGGGTTAGGTATCTTATCTGTAGTTTCACATGAACCTCTGCTTCTAGATCATTGCATTTACCAATCACGGTGCACCGTTATTCTCTCTCCATCTGTTTGTCTCTCTTGCTAATCTGTGAACGTCCTGAAAGCTGGTGAAGAATCTTATTCCCAGAACCTATTACAAGCCCGGCACTTAGTAGGAGCACAAGAATTGATCATTAAATGATTTCTTGTTGTTGAAATAAAGTTTAAGGACCCTTTGAGCTGATCATTTCTCTCAATCTAGCCCAGAATCAGTCCTGAAAATTCTAGACACCCTGCGTCACGCCCATGCTGCTGCCCACTTCCCCTTTCCCCAGTAATCATCCCCTGGGAAGAGGTGCTGTAACTCTACATCAGCCCCAGGGCAGCTCTCATCTGCTCTCCACCAAACTCATATCGCATTACATTTAATACATGTGTATAATGAATGCCGCACACATTTGGCAGTGCTTCTGTGCACCGTGTCATTATAAGCTGTATTGACAGCAAACAAGTCACATATTCTCCCTGCGAACACTACAGGAAGAAAGAACATATAATTTTGTTGTTGTTTGTATGTTTTTCTCCAAGTCACATTGGACACCATTTGCCTTTCATTAGAAACACCATGCTGACAGTAAAATCACATATCCCCAACACACAAAGAGGAGAAAAACAAGCTGTTTGGGCCCCCTGTGAAGGGGAGGAGCAAGGACATGGCCTCTGGGGAGGGGCTAGGGGTAACAGAACTGGGTGATTTCCAGGGCTTTAGTGGCTCTGATCCCCCTAGAGAGAGTTGATGCTCTCTTGCCCCGCAGGGTCTGTCTGTATCATCATGCCCTGCAGTTTTACTCCACTCAAACCTTGCCTCATGCATTCACTTATTCATTAATTTATTCACTCATTAATTCATCCAACAATGTATTGCTGTATATTCTTTCTGGAATTAAGTTAAGTGGGGAATGTAGAATACTGAAATACATTGAGCTCTTACTGTAGACACTTGCTACATATTTAATTTTCACAGAACCTTATGAGGTCAGTAACTATTGATTGCTTCACAGCTTTGATAACTGAGCATCAGAAAGCTAAAGTGACTTGCTCAAAATTACCAAGTACGTAAGATCAAGATTTGAACCTAGGCCTATTTCAGTACAGAGAGTAAATAAATGGATGAGTATTTACCGAGTGTCTATAATGTGAGGCACTACTCATGTTTCCAGCATAGATTTGACATTACAATTGTTTACACCCCTGCCTTCCCCACTAGACTGCAAGCTCATTCATTTATTCATTCAATGCTTATTCAATGGCTTTCCTGTACTGAACACTGTAAGTTATCCGATGGCAGAATTTACGTCTTAGTTATTTCTATAGTCCTAGGCTATAACATAGAGCCTGGGACACAGCAGAAATATAAAATCTATTGAAAACAAGAGAAGAAGGAAGGAAAGAGGGAGGCAGGAAGTTGTTCACTGTCTAGGGGAAGATAGGCATGTAAACAGTGAACTGGGATGGAATAAGGCAAATAAAGGTAGACATTATTTGCTGGGGGAATATTGAGAAATAGACAGTTCCTGGCAACTGCAGGAACTAAAAAAAGTGTTTCACCCAAGAAGACTCACTAAGGCTAGTTATAAAGACTGAGAATTCCAATGTATGAAGAATGGATGGAACATTCATGTGTGAAGAATGGATGGCAAAGAGATATGGTAGGGTATTGAAGGCCACACAATAGACAGCGTGAGTAGCTGGTAGGAATACAGAATCTATAGAGAGACAGAGTAGGAAACAGGCTAGAAAGACAAAGTCAGATCGTAGAGAGTGTCAGCTTTCTTTCTATTTTATTTGGTAGGGACTGGAGAGATTTATCTCATAGTTGTTTCTCTTCACATGAACTAATAAACTTTTCTTCAGAAAGGCAATAGGATTGGGTGAATTGAATAATCCAATTACCAAGAATATGGCATCAGGAGTCAAACAGTCCTGAGTTCAAGTTGTGCTTTGCCACCTCATAGGGGTATCACTTTGGGTGATCTAATTCTATTCTCTAACCTCTGGCCTCTTCGTAACAAAATCGAGTTGATAGGATCTGTGTCATAGGTGGTGAGGATACATTAAATAAATATGCAAAAATTCTTAAGAATTTTTGGTATGCAATAAGCTTTTGATAAAGGTTATTGATTATGATTTCCAATTGTATTGTTCTCAACCACATGAGCTCAGAATACATAAACTAGAAATACTTGTAGAGGAAGGAATATAGCATCCACAGTTTGGAAGCCCCTTCATCTCTCCATCCAACAACAATTTACTGACAGCCTACAAGCCATTTTCAGAAATGTTGTATTGACTGATAATGCACAAAGGAGAAATGCAGAGTCATGTCCTCAGGGAGCTCACAATCTTTAGGGGAGGTAGACAGGTAAATGGAGAGCAGCTGTGCAGCAGACTAAATGCAAATAAGAAATAGACCATTAAAGTGGAAGACTTCCATGTACTTGTTATGTGCATTGTGGCAAATTTCTCTATCTTTCTGAGATTCAGTGTCATCATCTTTAAATGGCGGGGGGGGAGAGGAAATCTGATAAATTCTTATACTAACTTGATGAGCTAATGTAAATTTTAAGAAAGAGTTAGCATCTTGCCTAGCTCACAAATGATCTTCAATAATTGTTTATTCAATGCACAAATGGATTAGTATTATAATAGCAGTGCATACAAAATGCAGCAGTGTTATATAAAGTAATGGGTTAGGGCAGAATCATATTGAAGAGCAAGGAAAGAACTGTACTACTTTTAATATCGGTCTGTCTTGATCAGATAGCTTAAGGAGGTTGCGATAAATTAAATATGGTTAAAAATTCTTGGCAGCTTCTTTCAGGAAGAGCTGACCCCTGGAATCTGGGCTAGACTTGCACTTGTTTTGGCCATTGGAATATCAAGCTGACTTTTTGTGGGCTCTGGAGACTAGGACCTAAAAGGAGGAATGTTGCCCCCTCATCATTATGTAAAGAAGCTGGCGCAACCTGCTGGAGGAGAATATGCCACCTGGGGAAGAACTGAGGCACCCAGCCAACATCCAGCACCCACCACTAGACATGTGAGTGAAACTATCGTTGGACTTTTCACCTCAGCTCACCTGCTAGCAGAATGTAGCTGCATGAATAAGCCCAGGGGAAACCAGCAGAGGGACCTCCCAGCTAACCCACAGAATCATGAGAAATAACACATTGTTATTTTAGTTATGTTTTGGGGTAATTCGTTACCTAGCAATATTTAACTGAACAGAGGCCTTAACTCGAATGCCAAGGAGATTTTTTTTGATAATCTAAAATTTAGGTTAAGTTTTTCGTGTATGTACACATTTCCAGTTTTTCTGGGCATCTGTGTTTCACTTTCATTCACTGTTTAGAAGAGTACATATACCAAGAAGGTTAAGAACCACTGTTTTAAGTCTAGGGAAAGAATGTTAAGAGCTTATTCATCTTGTGGTCATGATTTGCGTTTTCATATTGATTAGTGATGTTAAGTATCTTTGCATAGACCTGTTGAACATGGTACCTGTAGTTTACACTACTGGTTTTTAGTTTACACTTAAAATTTAAGAGGGTAGATCTCAGGTGTCCTTACTGCAATAAAATAAATTTTTTAAATGAATGAAGGTGCACGTGTGCACATACATGCATACACACACACACAAGAATGTCAAGAGCTTTTAAAGTTTCAGCTTCAGGGCAAGGCCTGTTGCATAGTGCAGAGATGCAGATTGTAGGTCACCTTTCCATGGGAGCCACAGCTACAGTGGGGCTGTCCAAGGTGCTGGCCAGACTGTCTTGCCTATTTCTCATTAATTAGCACTGTCCCTAGGTGGAGAGCACCTTAAAGCCTTTCCTTATGGGTAGTTACTTGGTTACACTGTTATGCCATGTTAAAATAGGTGTTGCTTTGTTAAACAACAAGGAAGCCAGATGACCCGTAATGCTCACCTGTTTGATCCTGAACTGTACTTGCTACCCACTATCAAGGCTGTGATGAACATCATCATAATACACAGGAGTACCTTAACCTAGGTATACCTGAATTGGATCCATACTCTGTGTCCTTATTATGGCTCAATAAGATGTGCTACCCTTGTTCCTACGAAGCTCTTGAAAGGCTTACTAGCACCCAAAGCCCTAGAGGGACAAGGTGTAGAGTTGGAAGATATCTGGTGTTGATTCAGACAGAGCAGTGTGGTTAAGCGTGCAGCTCTAGAATCTAACTGGGTTACCAGCTGCAGCACCTTGGGACATTTTGGAGATAATAATTGTAGCTACTTTACAGGGGGGTTGTGAGGACGAAACTAGTTAAAAACATAAATTGTACTTAAATAAATTAACATATTCAAAGTAGTTAGAAGAGGGCTCAACTCATAGTAAGTGTTCAATAAATGACAGGCATTTTGATGAAGGTGGTGAATGATTATTATAAGGACTGATGATAAAGATGTAATTTTGGATTTCAGCTCTGACACTTAGCTGTGGGATCTTAACTTCTCAAAATTTTTGCATTTTCGTATATAAAACAGGAACACATCCTTGTGATTATTAACTGAGGGAATGAAAAGGAAAACATAGCGCCGAACATGTAATAAATACACAATATAAATGATATTTTATTCTTATCTGCAGCTCCCTTCTTTCCTAGGACTCAGCAGATGCCGAAATATTGTCTGAAAGAGTGTGTGGATGTGTGTGTGTGTGAATCTTTAACAACAGAAAGTGTAAAAGTCACTTAATGAAATGATAGTGGGTTCATGGAAATGACTCTAGGGTCTCCTGTGTCCTGTTTGTCACAGAGAACTCCCTCTCATCCACTGCTTGTTGCTTTGCTGTTAAGAAGCTTTTGAGATAGATTAAAACAATAGCATCAACAGAGGTATAATTTTCTTCCATCCCTTTTTAATTAGCTGTGAACCGCAGGGCTAAGTGGCAACAGAATCAGAGAAGGCAGGAAGAGCAGAAAGCCACCATTTGAGTTCTTAGGATAAGAAGCATTTACTAAAAAACATTCTGAGAATTTGGATAAAAGATTCTGCAAGTTGTTCTCTCATCTTTTTAAAAAACAAACCTCTGTCTGTCAGCTCACTGCCAATTCCAGCCTGGAAAATTGGCATGCATGTTTCGAGGATAGGAAGCAGAAAGTATAAATTTAAGAATTGCGGTAGAACACAGATGCATGAGTCAGTAGATCTTCGAAATGCTACAGACCATTTTTTGTGCGTGTTCTTTAAGTCTCAATCTTTCTGACCCTTAAGTTTCTCATCTAAAAAAATGAGAGATGGGTTAGAACATAGCTACTATTTGCCAAATACCTATTACATGCAGAGCCTCACAACGATACTGTGAGGTATGTGTTTTATGTCCAAGTTTCAAAGCAGAAAACTGAGGCTTACAAAGCTGAATTTATTCAATGGCTCACAGCTTGAAAACTGTAGAACCTACCCAGCTATAACTCTAGTTCTTTCTGAATTCTTTCCCTGCATCGTAAGACTTCTCATCTTTAAAATCCCTTTCAACTTCATAAAGTTGCATAATTTGTATACTGTTCAATTTTTAGTTAATCAGAGGCAATGCACTAATATGTATAAGTTCTTAAACCTTTCAGTATCATTCTTGTTTATCTGGAATAATTTAAGAGAAAATTAAATAGTCTGGTTACGTGATCACCATAAGCATTATATGTATATAGATATTTTCACATAATTAGCAAAACTAATTTAAGAATTTATTCCGAATTTCTCATCCAGTGGGTAACAAATCCTGTAAGAACCATGAAATTTTTACAAAGAGTTCAAGAATATGAATGCCATCAAATATTGTCTGTAAACTAAAAAAAAGTCTTACCAATATATCACTTTACACTTTTCAAATGTACTTTTAGAGCTTCACAAATGTTAATATATGTATGTTTTTAAAATTTACTTTTATTTATATATATATTTTTTGAGATAGGATCTCACTCTGTCACCCAGGCTGGAGTGCAGTGGAGCCATCTTGGCTCACCGCAACCTCCACCTCCCAGGTTTAAGCAATTCTCGTGCCTCAGCCTCCCGAGTAGAATATATGTATGTTTTGATGTAATGTTTGTATTTACATAACATCCAAGTTCATTTAAAAATGACACTATACTATTCATTACAGCTTTTAGTTCTCATATCCAACAGATATCAAAGTATAAGTATCCTCATGCATCACAAAACTTATTGATGTTAAAAAGGAGTCCTCAGTGTAAGCTAAGTTAAAAACTGCTTCTTTACATATAAGATTGTAAGGTACTTGAAACTATGCTGTTTCATTTGATTCTTGCAATCAAATCAACAATCATCATATAGTACTTTTGAGACCAGGATTCTACCTAGTTATTAACTTTCTGCTTGTTAGGTTCTAGTTAAATGGGGATTTACACTCTTCTACTTTAGATCAGTTTTGTGCTTTAGATATTGCTACAGGCTGAATATTTGTGTCTCTCCAACATTCATTATTGACATCCTAATCCACAATGTAATGGTATTAAGAGGTGGGGCCTTTAGTAAGTGATTAGGTCTTAGAGGTAAAGCCTTTATAAATGGAATTCACGCCCTTAATGGGAATCTAATGAGATGAAAGAGACTCCAGAAAGCTCTCTCACCTCTTCTACCATGTGAGGACACAGAGAGAAGGCACCGTCTATGAAATAGAAAGAGTTCTCACCAGACATCAAATCAGATGGTGCCTTGATCTTGGACTTCCAGCCTCCATAACTATGAGAAATAATAGCTTATTGTCCATAAGCCATCGTGTCTATGGTAGTTTGTTACAGCAACCTGAATGGACCAACACAAAGACTATAGTCAATAAATCCTAAAAGGGCAAAGAAAAATGGATCTCACCTAGAGGTGAGAGAGCTTGGCTTCAGGAGCAGCCAAAAAACACATGGTAGAGAATACTACAGCCACCAACATTTTCCTCCTTCAAAGGGTCAGCTTTGCCAGTGGGGGTCACCCTGAATCGCTGCAGTGGGAATAGCAACATGGAGAAAATGCCAATTTTCCCAGGGCTCCTTGCTGGGATATTCTGAAGCCACAATCAAATCTTTAATTTAAAACATGAGAAAAGGATATCTACGGCGCTTGAGGAAAACTGCCATTGATGGGGACCCGCCACTTTTGGAGATAATTTCAGCTAAAATCAGCAGATTACCCAGAAGATACTATAGAAAGCTGGTGCTTAATCAACATGAATAAGAAATACTTTCCCTTTGAATCCAAAGCTCACAGTCACTCCCTTTCAAATTCAACCTCTAAGATCTAAACTGGTTGTAGTAAACAAAGCTCTTAATCCATAGGAACTTTGATATCTTAGATTTCTGGTGCAATGACCTTTATGGAAACTCACCATGCAATTTTCAAATTATCTGTGTCCCTGAGGTCTGTCACAGATATCCAGAGCCTTCCAAGAAACCCACAATTTCCTATGAGAGACAAAAAAAAACTTCATTGACTATGTAGATTGAAAATTAATTCCCCATAGGAAAAACAAATGTTATCTGAAAGCCCCCTGGACTTTACTACAGACCACAGAGCTACCATTTATTGTAGTGGTTTCAGGACATTTTTGCTTCTTTGAATCAGTTTGATCCTCATGACAGTGAATCAGGGAGGTGGGTGTTACATCATCAGCCCCATTTACAGATGAGAAACAAAACCAAGGAGGCATTCTGAGAGGTCAGTTTGTCTAGGCATAAGCAAGGCAAGACTTGGATCTTTTGGCTTCATGAGAAGTGTTTTTTCTACTCTTTGCTGTCTGCCTTCAACAATTGCTGAGTTTCCCTTGACTTGGACAAAATTTGTCTATTGTTCACAAACTCCCTTATTTGCTTTCCTGCACACTGCCTGTCTCTACTTATGAGTGTCTTGAGCTGAAATGGGCAGACTTCCTACCTTGCCTTTGCTGAAGGTCAGCTGCTTATTCCTATTTCATCAGACCTGATTTTCATGACTATCCTTTGACAGTAACAACTAGCTAGGTCTAGAGTTCTGAAAAATTATAAGGTACATGGTGTAGTGTGAGGGAAAGGGCCAGAAGGCCTAGATTCCAGCCTCAGCAATTCCACTTGCCAGCTTGGCAACATCAGGCCAGTTGTTAAACTCTTTGAGTCTCAGTTAACTCATCTGTAAGACAGGAATGATATTATCCCATCTCTATCACAGGAGTTTTGGGGAAAATGAAATGAGGTCAGAAATATCAAAGTATTTTACAAATTATACATAGCTGAATTCTGTCAAAGGCATATAGTTATTTTGTATCCGGGATCACAAATCAAATGTCTTCAAGATATTTGTAAAGAAGTGTAGCAATAAAGTTTAGTAAAATTGTGAATGGTGGGTCTGAAATCCACAGAAGAGGGCAGGTCCCACCAATGGCAATATCTTTCATTATGTACCAATAATAATCAGTTAGCCAAACCAGATATACCTGCTAGTCAAATTTGGTTTATGAGGCATCAGTTTGTGAACCCCATTTCCACTACAATATCTCCCAAATTGTGGGCTACAGATCCCCCAAGGGGTTTTAGACTTATTTCAAATTGTCATAAATCCATATGCACACAAAACATTTCCTATCGCCTGAAAAAGCAATGCTATGTACATCCAGATGATAGTATTTTAAAACTATAAGTAGATACCATTGTGATTAATAAAGTACATATTTATTCAAAAGCATAAGTTGATTCATTTTAACTTTTTGTTAATGTGTCATTCTCAATCAATAGGCACTAACCACATAAAACTTAGTCTCATGGTAGTTGGGAGAATAAACATCATTAAAATTTATTTTATTTTAATATTTTTATTTTTTAGAGACAGGGTTTCACTCTGATGTCCAGGCTGAAGTGTAGTTGTACAATCATAGCTCACTGCAGCGTTGAATTCCTTGGCTCAAGGGATCCTTCTGCCTCAGGCTCCCCAGTAACTAGGACTACAGGCATGAGCCACCATACCTGGTTAATGTTTTTAATTTTATTTTTTGTAGAGACAGAGTCTTGCTATGTTGCCCAGGCTGGTCTCGAACTCCTGGCCTCAAGTGGCCCTCCCACCTCAGCCTCCCCAAGTGCTGGGATTATTCCCATGAGTCGCCACACACCTGGCCAATTTTTTCACCTAAAAGGGGACTTCATAAGCTTAGATGTTGGGAAACAACTCTGAAATACTTTCAAAGGGTATAAGTAAGTATAACTAGTTATATCAGCCAACAGAAGGTCTTCTCTTGAGATGGCCTCAGGATCTGACACCAACTGGATTTGGAGAGAAAAACAAGAAAGAGCTATGTTTATGAACACTTTCTGAGCAGCCAAGTCACTGGGAGCATCTCTTGATATAAGGACATAGGAAAGGTGTTCTTTGTGTGGGCCACACAGGCCCTCACATTCACCTATAGCCTTAGTCAGCCATATGTACACATGTTCCTGAGCATGTACACACACACAAACTAAGCTAGATTCTGCATATTTCTTCATGCACATACACAAACTAAGCTATATTCTGTATATTTCTTTAAACAGTATACACTCCAATATGCACAAGTCCTGATCGCTGGAGCCTATTTATGTTGCCTTATTTAGAAAAAATCTGTCTTTATAGATGTGATTAAGTAAAGGATTCTGAGATGGGGGGACTAGTATGAGTTATCCATGCAGACCCTAAATGTAAAAACAGGTATCCTAATCAGAGAGAGTAATAGGGAAATTTGACACATAGATATTTACACAAAGAGGAGGTGATGTGAAGACAGGGCAGAAAGAGATTTTAAGACATTGGCCTTGAAGATTGAAATGATGTGGCCACAAGCTAAGGAATGCCTGCAGCCACCAGAAGCTCAAAGAGGCAAGGACTGCATTCTCCCCTAGAGCGTTCAGAGGCAATGCAGGCCTGCCAACACCTTGATTTAGGCCCAGTGAAATTGATTTGATACTTCTAGCCTCCAGAACAATGAGATAATAAATTTCTGTTGTTTTAAACCACCAGATTTGTGGCAATTTGTTACAGATGCTGCAGGAAGCTAATACAATAAATATACATCTTCTAAACACATACTCTATACATGTACATTACATAGACATGTCAAATGTACATCAATTTTAAGTACACAAAGCCCTTAAACACAACAGATACATCTCCCTGAAAATGATACTTCTTATACACATCCTAAAACCTGGCATCACCATCTACCCTGTGACTCAAAAACTAGGGTGTTACTCTTGTTTCCCCTTGAAACCTGAATAAAGAGTCCTTTAACAAGTTCTTCTGGGTCTACCTTCAAAACATCCCCAATCTATTCACTTCTTTCCACATTCACTACTAGCGTTCTTCTCCAAGTCGCCATCATTTCTTTCCCAGACTTTTATATTAGCCTCCAAGCAGTCTCTGTCACCATCACCATTCTTGCCTCCCTATAGTGACTTCTCCAGATAATACCCAGCATAGTCTTTCAAAATCCTTAATGGGATCATTTCACTCTCTTACCATAGACCCTCCCAAAATGGCTACTCAATTTTTCCAAATAAATCCAAACTCCTTACCATTTCATAAAACACCCAGTATGACCTGACCTTCTTCCCCCTCTCTGACTTTATTTCACCCCACCCCTGCCTCCTTGTCCTTGATCCAGGCACACTAGCCTTCTTTCTGCTCATGAAACACGCCAAGCTCATTTCTGTCTCAGGGCAATTATGTTTGCTGTCCTCACAACCTCATCCCCAGATTTTCATTTGACTGTCTCCTCATTTAGATTTCAGCTCAGATGTCATCTCCTCAGAGAGAGCTTCCCTGCCCATCCCCAACTTCACCCCAATAGCTCTCCATTTCATTACCCCATTTTATTTTCTTTGTTTAACAATGAGTGCCATTTTTAAGTCTTTGGGCATTTATTGAATTGTGTCTCATCTACCTCCCCTCACTCAAATAAAAGTGCCATGAAAGCAGTGACTATGTCTTGTTCACTGGTGTATCTCTGGAGTCTACAACAGCACCAGCATATGATGGACACAAATACTTACCAATTTAATGAATGGCTCTCAACTTTGGTTTAGAATGTTATATATATATAGATATATAGATAGATAGATATATAATACCAATTCCTAGGTGCCGTCTTAGACATCCTGAATTGGAAATTTTAGGCAGCAAGACTCCACAATTTATATATTGAAAAAGATCCCTAGGTGATTTGACAGGTAGCCAGAATTGAAAGCCACTGACTTAAACACCTAATCAATGTGCATATGCCTTACATACATACCCATGGCCCACATGCATATGTCTTGCACATATATCTTCCATACCAGATATCATCTATACATTTATGTGTCCACTGTTTTTACACATTTGTTATGTATACCACATACAAAAATACTCCATACATGATTATTATCCATAATATATAGATATATAGTAATCCATATATATAGTAATTCCTATTATAGCAAAACTGCCATTTCCTGAGTGTCTACTTTATGCCAGGTACTGCAACTGGTGTATAGCTTGGAGATACAAAGGCCTAGTCCCAGCTTTAAAAAAACTCACAGCCTACAATAACTGCTATGGACTGAATGTTTGTATTCCCCTCAAATTCATGTGTCGAAATCTTAACCCCCAATATGATGGCATTAAGAGGTGGGACCTTCGGGAGATTAAGTTGTGAAGTTGGAGCCCTCATGAATAGGATTAGTGCCTTTACCTTTAAAAGACACAAAGACATAATGAGAGGACAACCAACAGCAAAACCAGAAAGTGAGTCCTCACCAGACACTAGATGTGCCAGCACCTTGATCTGGACTTCCCAGCCTCCAGAACCATGAGAAACAAATGTCTGTTGTTTAACTCACCCATCTGTGATAATATATTACAGTAGCCTGAACTCACTAAGACAATCACTGAAGCAGACCACTGCAATCCAAGGTGTTGAGTGTTTAAAGAGGGCAATACTGAACCCTGTGGGCATACAGATAGGAAAGCAAAAGACTGTTAGACTGACAAATTCATATTCCAATTGAAGCAGGCAAAACATGACTTGTGTCCTGAAGGATAGAAGTTATTTAGGCTAGGAGGAGTAATAAAAAGGGAATGGTACTTGATGCAAGGGAAAAGAATGTGCAAGATATAGCAGCTAGGGTATATGGTTTGTATAGGGATATGCAAATTATTTAATTTACTTGTTTATTAAACAGAAGTTTGACTACTTATCATGTCTCAGGTACTATGCTAAATACAGCTGAGAACAAAGGCCCAGACTCATGACACCAGAATCTCTAAGGGTGGGATCCGATGAAATGTATTATAAAACTTTCTAGATGATTATGATGCACAGCAGGGTTGAAAACCACTGGTCTAGATGAATTCACTTTGCTGGCTTCCACAGAAAAGAAGTAAAGGGACTGACTGAATAAAAACCAAGCTGTCCAGTCCGTAACACTACAAATGTGCTTTTGACAAACTTAAGGACTTCAAAGACAATTGCCAATTCATCCTTACCTACTAAGGGCAGCCAGCAATACTTCCAAGAACTATAGTGCTGTCAACATCGGAGACTTCTTTGCTCCAGTTGGGTCACTGTTCACTGAATCCCTGACCTGGGCAAGTTGGTGCAAGGCACTTCTTGGCAACGCCAAGTCTTAGAGCACCAAGCCCCCCAAGATGGAGAGCCGTATAACCTTGGGACCAGGAGCTTCAGACTTCGTGGACTAGGTTGAAATTTTAAAGAACTGGGGGCTTCTCTGGTTTTTCATTTCCCTGGATTGCACTCTGAAAGTTGGGTCAGAACTAGCCCATCTCCCTTCCGGCTCTCAGGCTACCTCACATGATAGAAAGCAGTGCACCACTCAGCAGCCACCACCAAACCATCTCAGTAATAACAGGTTCACCTCCTCTGTCTCCTTCATTTGAGGGGAAATATTGCCTGAGGCACAAGCAAAGCTTCAAATTGATTTAATTTAAAATTTCAAACTGCTGTATGCAGCTTTGCTCGACTGCCATCTGCTTTTCCAGTATGCAATGACACCAAGCCTGTTTTTATTGTGTTTGCTCAACCAAGTCCACCAGTGAAATATTAATAATTTCCCCAGCGTCTGGTTGGTTTGCGTGCTTGGGATGATATCCAAACATTCATCAGGCTCATCAAAGTTATGAGCAAAATAATTTTTCTCCTTAAGCGGGAAGGAGAGGAGGGATCTGGATTTTTATTAGTGGTGCATATCACTATGTGACACTTTTAGCTTTCTCTGCACCGAAAAAGAAAGCAACTGCATTGCTTCTGGCCCCAACATTAGATATACTTTCTCTGTAGAGAGGTAGTTTTTCAGCCAAGCAAGGAAATAAGTAATCTGTGAAGATGTAAAATGGGTGCCATCCCTAATGCCTCTCTTTGCCTCACTCATCACATGCAATTTGACATTAAGTCTTGTTGAGTCTGTCATTATTCTTGGGTTCATTTCCTTCTCTCCATTACCACTGCCACTGTTTTAATCCAGATCCTTGCCAAGTAATCTGGATTACCACAATAAGATGCCTCTGGTCTCCTAACACTCATGAAATCAGTTTCCCTTTCCTCTCCCAATCACCAGAAATGGAGTTTGTAACTTTCAACATGATTTCATCAGTCATTTGCTCCAAACTCTTCCATGGCTCCCCACTGCCCTATCCTAAGGTCCACATTCTTTTGTACAGGTTACAATGCTTGTTTCTCCTTCCATTTCCACTCTACTATCCTATGCCTCAGCCAATCAGTATTCTCCTGGGGCAACAAACCCACTCCTGCCCACTGGTGTTTGTTCAAGAGAGATCTATAGAGAATTCCACACAATGATTAGCTAATAGCATAGTTCCAGAAAGGATGGCTGTCATTATTGTCACCCTTATTTTTTAAAAAACAGAGATATCCAGATCACCCTGATTAATCCCTGTCTTCATTAAAAGCATTCCTCTCCTCTTTAGAGGAAGAAAATAATAGACTGACTTCATTTGTTTCCTTCAATTTGGGGCCAGGAAAGAATGGGTCCTACCCGCAACATTGTAGATAAGAGGCCACATTGCAAAGTTGTTAAGAGCTCTGCAACAAGACATCCAGGTTAAAATGCCGACTCTGCCACTTACTAATCAATAGATTTGAACACTAAGAATAGAATTTGGCACATAGTGAACACTCAGTTAGCAATGGAGTAATAAGTCTAATATATACACATCTCTGAAAGCAGAACACAGATTTGTACATTCTCAAAGGGACCACAGGTTCTCACCATACAATGCCTTTGCTGACGACATCCCCCGGACCCACCACAAGAATTGCCTTCATCCATAATTATCCACCTGGAGAAAGGCTGTGTCTTCTTTAAGAACCAGATGAGATAAGTGAACTCCCATTCACAATTGCTACAAAGAGAATAAAATACCTAGGAAAACAACTTACAAGGAATATGAAGGACCTCTTCAAAGAGAACTACAAACCACTGCTCAACGAAATAAGAGAGGACACAAACAAATGGACAAACCTTCCATACTCATGGATAGGAAGAATGAATATCGTGAAAATGGCCATACTGCCCAAAGTAATTTATAGATTCAATGCCATCCCCAACAAGCTACCACTGATTTTCTTCACAGAATTGCAAAAAAATTACTTTAAAGTTCATATGGAACCGAAAAAGAGCCTGCATAGCCAAGAAAATCCTGGGCAGGAAGAACAAAGCTGGAGGCATTATGCTACCTGACTTCAAACTACACTACAAGGCTACAGTAACCAAAACAGCATGGTACTGGTACCAAAACAGACATATAGACCAGTGGAACAGAACAGAGGCCTCAGAAATAACACCACACATCTACAACAATCTGATCTTTGACAAACCTGAAACAAATAAGCAATGGGGAAAAGATGCCCTATTTAATAAATGGTGCTGGGAAAACTGGCTAGTCATGTGCAGAAAACTGAAACAGGACCCCTTCCTTACACCTTATATAAAAATCAACTCAAGATGGATCAAAGACTCAAACGTAAGACCCAGAACCATAAAAATCCTAGAAGAAAACCTGGGCAATACCATTGAGGACACAGGCACCGGAAAAGACTTCATGTCTAGAACACCAAAAGCAATGGCAACAAAAGCCAAAATTGACAAATGGGATCTAATTAAACTAAACGGCTTCTGCAAAGCAAAAGAAACTATCATCAGAGTCAACAGGCAACCTACAAAATGGGAGAAAAATTTTGCAATCTATCCATCTGACAAAGGGCTAATATCCAGAATCCACAAAGAACTTAAACAAATTTACAAGAAAAAAACAAACAACCCCATCAAAAAATGGGCAAAGGATATGAACAGACACTTCTCAAAAGAAGACATTTATGCAGCCAGCAGACATATGAAAAATGCTCATCATCACTGGTCATTATGGAAATGCAAATCAAAACCACAATGAGATACAATCTCATGCCTAGAATGGCGATCATTAAAACATCAGGAAACAACAGATGCTGGACAGGATGTGGAGAAATAGGGATGCTTGTACATTGCTGGTGGGAGTATAAATTAGTTCAACCATTGTGGAAGACAGTGTGGTGATGCCTCAAGGATCTAGAACTAGAAATACCATTTGACCCAGCAATCCCATTACTGGGTATATACTCAAAGAATTACAAATCATTCTACTGTAAAGACACATGCACACATATGTTTATTGCAGTACTATTTACAATAGCAAAGACTTGGAACTAACCCAAATGTCCATCAATAATAGACTGGATAAAGAAAATGTGGCACATATACACCATGGAATACTATGCAGCCATAAAGAAAGGATGAGTTCATGCCCTTTGCGGGGACATGGATGAAGCTAAAAACCATCATTCTCAGCAAACTATCACAAGAACAGAAAACCAAACACCACATGTTCTCACTCATAAGTGAGAGTTGAACAACGAGAACACATGGACATAGGGAGGGGAACATCACAGACCAGGGCCTATGGGGGATGGGGGGCTAGGGGAGGGATAACATTGGGAGAAATACCTAATGTAGGAGACAGGTTGATGGGTGCCAGCAAACCACCGTGGCATGTGTATACCTACGTAACAAACCTGCACGTTGTGCACATGTACCCCAGAACTTAAAGTATAATTTTAAAAATAGAATAATACATAAATAAAATAAAATAAGAAAGAATCAGATGAGAAGTCACTTCCTCCAGCATGCCTTGACAGGCATATAATGGAATGGGATTTGGTGTCTGGCTTTGAATTGCAGCATTATCACTTGCTATCTACATTATGTTAAGTACATTGATAACCCACCTAAGTCTCATTTTACTCATCTGTAAAATGGGGATAAAATTAGCCTTCCTGCAGGTTGGTTATGTGTCCCACTCAATACATTTTGATTCCCCTAATTCCTTCTTTAGATCCCTAATGTCAGTGGAATTTATTTAAACCCTCTTCTGAGCTCCCCCTAAAATTTACACACTTCTATTATTCTATAATTCCTCTATTTTATGAACAAAAAGAAAGGACTTGTTCATATCTTGAGTAGATTATTTTGACCTTGCCTGACCAGTGCCTCTCTGTCCAGTCTTGGTCTCTAGATTTCTATTTACTCAGAGTCATCATCTAACCAATACATATCAGATCAAGGCACTCTCCTCAGAGCAACCATTAATTGAATCCCTTCATCCATAAATCAAGTTCAAACTGCTTGGAATGCTATTTAAAGTTCATAATGCTATTTAAAGTTCATGGCAAGCTTGCCATGCCAACCCCAACTCCAACCACTACCACACACTCTCAGTAATTACTGTCCCTATTGTCCCCAGAATCAGCCATGGACTCTAAGCTCTGACTCGAGTCATCTCTACATGGAATGCTCTTTTATTACCTTCTCATCAATTGAAATTCTACCCCAATATCTAAGGTCTAGGTGAAATATCCCCCACTTTTCCCAAGCACTTCCTTATCTCCACTCTTCCCCATCTCCCAACAATTGGGAACAATGAAATAAATTAACAAATGGGGAGAATGACATCTCTTAGCCACCAATTAGTAAATGGAAGAAATGGGTTTCAAATTAGAAGCTTCTCATTCTAATGCACCCACTCATGCTTTCTTGCCCCTATCCCATGTTGCTTCTCCACCCTCTTCACTCCTATACCCATAACAGCAAGGAACTCCAGAATGCTCAGATACTGTAGGTGTCTGAAACTGTTAGTCTTGTAGAGTCATCTGCTTCTTTGCTTCTCTTTCCATTCCTGATAAAATGGATATGAAATGGCATATGATGCAATGGGGCAGTTTTATATGTTGCTGGCAGAAATGTAAGTGGAGGGAATTTCTGGAAAGCAGTTCGGCAGTATGTATTAAAAGTCTGCAAAATAGTCATAGTTTTTACTTAGTCATTCCTTTTCTGTAAATCTGTTTTAATAAACTAGTAAAAAGTAACTCTCTCTCTCTCTCTACATGTATATATGTATATATATATACACACACACACACACACATAGATATAGATAGATAAACATATATATATATGAATATAAAGAGATAGATACATACATACATACAAGGATAATATGACAGGGAAAGTTCAAAATTAGCCTAAATGCTTAAAAATACATAAATAGAAGTATTTAAACACTTCAATTCTAGAGTCAGAGAGAACAAACCTAGCTCTACTTTATAATACTTATATTATCTTAGGTACATTATTTAACCTTTCTGTTCATTATTTGCCTCATCTGTATACTCATCTCTATAAAGGCATACTAAAATCTACTTCATAGGCTTACCATGAGGATTGAAAGAGATTTTATAGGGAAAGGATATAACTCACAGTCTAATACATTAAATGTTCTCAATAAATATAAGCGAAGAAGGAGGAGGAGGAAGAGGAAGAAAAGAAGAAAGAGGAGGAAAAGAAGGAGGAGGAGAATAATTAGGAGAGATAGCCACTGTCTAGACTACTGTGCAGTTCTTAAGCATTATGTTAACAGAGTTTGAATTAATAATATGAAAAATAAATTAATGATCAGTGAAAAGGCATGATCCTAAATTGTATGTACAGCAGTAATCCAATAGAATAAAAAACTGTAGAAAAATATCAAAAGAAGATGTGCTTAATGTCAATAGTTATGCCTCAGTGATAAGACTATGCACATGTGTATAGGGGGTTGTAATCTTTCAATATCCTGGCTTTATATATTTTTTGCCTGCTTGTGACTATCCTTGCCCAAATAGTATCATGGATATCCTGAATGACATGGCAAAAATCACATCATAATTGTCCTCCATCTCTGTTGTCCCCTGACATAAATTCAGTGCTGAGCAAATGAGCCTTTTGGATTGAACAGGCAGCATTGTCTCCATTATTGCACAAGTTATTTCTATTGCAGATGCCCAAGCTAGTGCCTAGAACAGGATACTGTTCAATAAATATGAGTTTCCTTTCTCTTAACCCACTTGCTTTTCTGCTTTATTCTAAAATTTCCAAACTGTTTGGGAATAAAATAAGTGACTCTGAAAGCCCATGCCATCACTAGTTTCTATGTAACAGCTAACTGCATACTGCCTTTGGATCAACTGGCAACAGACTCTCAGTGACAGAAACACTGGTCTACAGAGTTGCCCTGGAAAATGGGACTGTGTTTTACCTAGCAGGGAGCATTTTTCAGGTAATAAGGTAGGGAAAATAGTTTGGCCCTTTCCTCAGGTGAAGTGGTTTTATCCTGGTGGCCTATTTGAGTTAGATTTAACTCTTTTTCCATTTACTTATTCAGTATTCATTGGGTGGGCAGCTACCATGTGCCAGGCATTGAGGATGCAAAGGTAAATTGTCCTTTAGAACAGAACCCATTTTAGGTAAATCACCCACATGAAGCAGAGAAGTCAACTGTGTGATTCACTAAATGACAAGCAATGGCTGCACTTGTCTAGCATATATTTGACATTAATAGTATAATAGGACTAGTGGACGTAGCCCAGGTGGCTTTAGAATTGGAAAATTCAAATCCCACCTCTGTTCCTTCTTAGGTATCTGACGTTGTGTCTGTTTCCTCATAAACTGCAATGCCAAGCTGGTGTCAGGATGAGAGCTCATCTATGGGTATTACTTAGCAAGCCCAATGCCTGACCAACAAGCAGTGGTTAGTGTCAGTCTTTTTATTGTGGTTTCAGTATCTTTAAGAAACCCTGCTACACATGAGGAAGAAGCATGCACCTCATCAAAGCTGCCTTCAAGGAAGCAAAATTCTCTATCATAACTAAGTCGGATGATTCCTCATTTTTCTCCTTCCATTCATTGCCTTCTGCTACTGGTTACTGATTTTAGTTTCTGTTTTATGGCTTCAATTCTGGCCCCTCATCCTTTCATAGAGGATGGGGAAATACGTAAGATGATAATTAACCTTTCTTTCTTCTGAGCTTTGTAAGCCTGGCACTGAGTTCAACACTTTCACCAATATTTTCTCATTTAATCTTCATGCTGGGCTTGAGGTAGGTATTGCGGTTCTACTTTGCCAAAGAGAAAACGAAGGCTCAGAGAGAATGTGAGACCTGAGGTCATAGAGCTGTTAAATTGTGGAGCTGGGTTGCAGCCAGATCTGTTTGAGTCCAATTCCTGCTCTTACAGTGTACGGTGAAGCCTCGTGTCCATTCTCATTACTCAATTAGATCATTGGTCATTCCTCTTTAGGAAGGCAAAACACAGACAGAGATAAGTCTTCAAAATGCTCAATCTCTCTGAATCAGATTTATGACACCCAAGATGTACACATTCACTAAATTTGGAGGTCAAAGCAGCCTTGGCCTTCAACATATTAAATAAAACAGAGATCTTGAGAACTTTCATGACTTGTTCAAGCCCACATATAAAGCTTGTGGTAGAATAAGAACCAGAAAGGGTCTCTTCCCAAACATAGGAACATCACCCTTATTTAAAGTCACACTGAAAGATTCAGGGGTGAAATCTGGCCAACATTTTCTGGGCATTGAGTGACGGGAATCCCAGGCGGCCAATGAGCTCACTGGGCAGAGTAGAAGAGGACCATAGCCTGGGCACAGAACTGCCTGCAAAAGGACCCACATGAATGCTAAATAGCTCTCCTGCAGCCAGGAAGCAAAAGCAAACTGAGGTCCTCATGCAACTGAAAAGCAAGGCAGTAAGGACACATGCATGTGTCATAACAAATTAAGAGTCACTGAGTGAGGACCCCAGCGCCGCTATTCCTGCAGCAGGATCTGCCACTGGTCCCACGTCAGCAACTGGAGGCTGTCTCACACAGGGACTTGAAAATAGAATGTCTTGCAAATATTTTCTTTCTAAAATCTCCTTGCAGAAGCCTCCTTATTCTTTCATAATCACCACAAAGCAATCCTCAGTCAAGTACTAAAGTAAATTCAAAGCAATTAGAGTGTCTATCTACAGTGAGCCCGAAATGTGTTTGCAGTGGTTCTCCGGGAAATGGCTTGGCGTACATTTTCCCCAGAATAGTGCTATTTGTGTAAAGAAGATGCTGCTCATACCCAATGTATAAAAACATACACACGCGCACATGCACATGTGCACACACACATTTACTATGACAAATGGATGCAACATCTCAAGAGTAAAATATTGTGTTGTGGGTTACAAGCCAAAGCAAGGCAGCCCCGCTCCAGTAAGCACTTATAAATTGTTGTAAAAAATATCAAGAAATAGGAGCTCGCCTTGGTAATATAACAGTTGCAGGATTTCAGGGCCCAGGACTAGCTTAAAAAAAAGAAAGAAAGAAAGAAAGAAAGAAAGAAAGAAAGAAAGAAAGAAAGAAAGAAAGAAAGAAAGAAAGAAAGAAAGAAAAAAAATTAAACAGCCAAACCCATTGCTTCAAATATCTGCTGGATCTCTAGGGTGGTCTTGTGTTTCTAATTAATATTTCCCCCTAATTACAATAGTGATGGTAAGTGTGTTAAATGCAAAACTCACTCCTTTCTTCACCACAGAGCTATTGGGGGAGAGGAGGCAGGCACTCTAGGAGGAAGGCTGGCCAGCTTCATTGTGATGCAAAAGAATGCAACAATTAAGAATATAATTTTGGGAGATGTCAGCAGCCTAATTACTCATAGGGCTTCCAGCAAATTAAGCAGTAGGTGAATTAGCTCATTTAATGAGATCTAGAATTTGGAGGCAAGTTACTTTTACTTTGCATTTGAGAAACAAATGTCTCTACTACATGTTAATAATTTGGGCACCCCAACATGCAATTAGCTCAACAGATTCTGTGAAAGCATAAAGGTCAGTTGCTTAAAAGGATCTGTAAGTCAGTTAAATTGCATTTATCTGCTCCCTGAATACCCTCTCTCTCCTCTTCTGTTTCTTTTCTTCCCAAATGCAGTCGTCCAACTTGGAGAGCATAGAGTTCAATAAAGGGGCTTTGGAAACTACAGCTTTCAGAAAAGGGTTAAAGGAGGCACAGTGGAAATTGCATTGAAAACCTGCTTTAGTTGTTGTTGTTTTTTTTTTGAGATGGAGTCTCACTCTGTCACCCAGGCTATAGCACAGTGGCATGATCCTGGCTCACTGCAACCTCCGCCTCCCAGGTTCAGGTGATTCTCCTGCCTCACCTCTCAAGTAGCTGGGATTACAGGCGCACGCCACCAGGCCCAACTAATTTTTGTATTTTCAGTAGAGATGGGGTTTCACCAGTTTGACCAGGCTGATCTCAAACTCCTGACCTCAAGTAATCCACCCGCCTTGGCCTCCCAAAGTGCTGGGGTCGCAGGTGTGAGCCACCACACCCGGCCTGCTTTAGTATCTTAATACCTCTCTAATCCTTTGTTTCTGTGTTTGTAATGTGGAAATAATGACACTCATATTACAATTTTTCTATGTACTAGTCAAATTTCTTTACAAGATGGTATTCCTTGAAGACAGGAAATGTGGTATTTATCTCTGTATCTTAGCACCTATCACTGTGCCTGGAACATGTTTGTGTCACCCCAAAATTCATGTGTCGAAATCCTAACCCCCAAGGTTATAGTATTAGGAGGAGGTCAGGCCTTCGAGAGGTGATTAGCATTAACACCAACTTCTGTGCCTAGAACATAATATACGCTTAATATGTATATTAAATAAAGATTAATTCAAAGGAATAGGTGAATAAATAACTGGTGTAAGGAGTCAAGGAGAGAAAAATATAAAGTTTCCAACGTGGTCCCTGACTCACAGTAGACCCTCAAGAAAGAAAAAAAAAAAATGGCTGTGAGTATTAGCCACACTGGAGTCTTGAGTTAGGTTTTGTGAAGAAGGAAGAGTCAAAGTGTCCCGGACAGAGTTGTCTTGTGACCTAATAGCGGAGAAAATAAGATGCGTGGTCAGTGTTCTTCATATGTCACACAAGCACAGAGACTCAAATGCTGCCCAAGACTCAGGGACTCTCAGTGTACTCAGAAAGGGTGTGAACAACCTAAGTGATCACACCATGCACCAGAGACTCTGCAAGGAGCTTCCCATCTATCAGGATGTTTTATCCTAACAGCCCTATGAGATAGGTATTGTTATCCTTTCTTTTTATAGATGAAGCAGCTGAAGCTCAGAGAGATTAACCAACATGTTCAAACTGACACAGTTGATCATACACATTTCTAGGCATTCAATACCCTTCACACTTGACACAGAGGCCAGTATAGGACACACCAAGCTATCTTGTAATTGTTGCTCAGCTCTGCCCTCAACCTGGGAGCTAAAAGGGGGAGGAGGAGAAGGAATCACCTAGCCTTGACTCTCACTGCTATGGCCTGAATGTTTGCGTGCCTGCAAAATTCATATATTGAAATCCTAACCCCTGAGGTGATGGTATTGGAGGAGGTGGGGCCTTTGGGAAGTGATTAGGTCATGAGGGTAGAGTCTTCTTGATTGGGATTAATGCCCTTATAAAAAAGACCCGAGAGTGCTCCCTTACCTATTCTACTACTTGAAGATACAGCAAAAATGTGCCATCTATGAGCCAGAAATCAGGCCCTGACAAGACACTGAATCTGCCTTGATCTTGAATTTCCCAGCCTTTAGACATGTACAAAATACATTTCTATTATTTCTAAGCCACCCAGTCTATGGTATTTTATGATAGCAGCCACAATGGACTAAGACACCCATTCTGTCTTCTCTGCAGTCTCCCTTACAGAGGACCACGTGTTCTCCGCTGCTTTACCTTCTCATCTAACATTAAATGAGAAACCGCAATTCAGGAAGTCCTTTGGTTTGTGAAACAGAACTGAAGGCTTCCTCTTTTTTGACCTTATCAGGAAAGTGTCTTCCAAAGTCATTTCTTGAGACTAACTCCAAAGCCACGTCCTCTCCATGACTCTCCACAGAGAACGTTCTATCTCTCAAAGGCTTTAGTAACCATTATTATTCAAATTATAATTAGCTACCATTTATTAACTGTTTATTACAGGCTGGACCCTGGGCCCTACATTCGTTGTCTTATTTCTCACTAAAATCCACATGAGATAGTTACTATTATTACCCTTAATTCATAGGTAAGTATACGAGGTCAGAGACTTTAAATGAATTGTTCAAGGTCACTCAGCTTGTAAGGGGTAGTGCTGAAAATGTCACATCAGGTTTTCTGACCCCAGGGCCCATGCACTAACTGTTCTATATTGCCTTTGTTGGATGGCTCTGATAGTTACAAAAATATTTTTAAAATAGAACTAAAACCTGTCCTGAAACTTCCAACCATCAGGTTTCTTTCTCTGAAACCATAGAGAACAAATCAGCCCCATTTATAGGACGCTCTTCAGATAATGGGAACTGCAGCTCCCTGCACAGCATCAGCCCTTCCAGCAGACAATTCTTCCCAGCCACATAGACACATCCGGGTTCTATTTTCTATAATGGTAACTTACAGTTTGTGAGTCTATTGTTATTTTTACCTTTTGTGTGAGGTATTTCACTGATATGATCTCACTCAACCCACCACGATGTTATGAAGGTAGTATTGGTTCCCTAGTTATAAAGAAGAGCAAGCTGGGGCATAGGAAGGTGAAGTTTATTGTCCAAGGTCAAAGGTTACCAAGTAGCACAGCTGAGATCCCCAAGATTCAAACTGAAGTGTGCCAAAAGTTAAGACATGTGCTCTTTCCACTGTGGTATGAAACCTTTTTGAATGAATGAATAAACCATACGTGGCAGAGTGTGATAAGCTACCTTAAGAGAGGTCCAAAGGAATGCTAAAGGTGCTCAGCTCTGAAATGGAGATGACTTCTTTCCCACCAAGTCTTCAGTGAGGCTGCACTAATTACCATTTATATAAGATGCCTGCCTGCCTCTGCTGGCGCTCAGAGAGAAGTTTTAATTTGCTGGTGAAGGAGTTGGGGGAGGGAATGGAGAGTGCTGTGAAGTGTCCCCTCCAAAGTGAGAGGGTTTTTTTGTTTTTTTTGTTTTTTTTTTCAGGAAAACACTGGTCGGTTACTAATGGAGAAGAAGAAAAAGCAGCAAAGACAACGAGTATACTTGGGATGCGATCGCATGCCTGGAGCATCTGGTGGGCAGGATTCACTCGTCCTTTCCTTTTTGAGATTGCAATTAAGTAGATAATATGAGAGAGAACTGACAATTGGGTTGTCCCTACTGAGCTTGGGGCCAGGTGTGTACTTAGGAACCCAATCCCACCCAGAAGAGACTCATCTATGTTAACACTAAGGATGCCCTGGAGGAGGTCCTGACCACATACATGCGGCCATTGGTTGATTTCAGCTTTGCAAGCAGCGTAGTGAGAAAACCAAAAGCTTGTCCTATCCAGACTGAGCTTGCCAGGGAAGCAGAGGCCTGAGGTTACTTAACGAGAGGCAGGCTGCCAGAGTGGAGACACAGGGCATGTACAATCATACAAACCTGCATACCAATTCTGCCCCCCCACTCACTCTGTGGCTGTGTCACCCTGGCAAGTGACTTAACCTCTCTGATCTTCTTTTCCTCACCTATAAAATGGGGAAAATGAAATGTATCTCAGATTGGGGATTCGAAGGTTTCAAATGACCATTTAGGTAAACTTCCTGGAACATAGTATGTGTTCAGGAACCTTGAGTTCCCTCCCCTTGGGAGAAGACCCCTCACACTGAGCTGGGGAGCAGGATCCTGGTCACTGAGACTTCTTTTCTGCACAAACTTCATCTTGGCCTCTAATGAGATGGAATCCCCCAGGGCCTGTTGCCTCCTGTTATTGCAATTTAAGCACAGCCAGTGCTGACTGGGCTGTTAGACTCCAAAGGTTCCCTGGTAGAAAATTTGAGGGGTGTGGGATGGCAAGGGATTGAGAGAGAGGGGTGGGGACTTCAGATAGCCAGTATTCCTTAGCCTTCCAATTCCTTAACAGCCAAATTACCCTAGAGCCTCTTTATGAAGCTAAAGAAATACAAATACTATTTTCAAATCAGCAGGCATTCCCAATGTTGGCTTTTGCTGAGGGTAGCTAAGAGGCAAAGCATACCTAGATCCTAGGCCAGACCTCAACAGCCTTAGTTCTGGCTCCTTCTGTTTCCATATTTCTCAAGAACCTGGTTTTCTCTGCTGGAAGAAGCATTTTCAGAGGTCATCTGAAGTCTACAGCCCTCCCCTCTGCGAGGAGAGCACAGACTTGAAGTCAAGTGGGCCTGGGCTCCAAATCTTAGTTCTGCCACTTACTAGCTATGTGGCCTTGGACAAGTTACTTAACTCCCCCATGCCTCAGTTTCTCTGGATACCAAATGGGGATAATGATGCTAATACCTCATAGAGTAGGCATGAGGGTTATATGAGTAAAGTGCTGAGAAAGGAGCCTGATAGGTAATTACCTGATCCCCCTCCTCTCGCTAGAGCCCCCACACCCTGGTGATACTCACCACTATGCCTTCACTTTATAATCAACAGAAACACTTCAACACCCATCCCAGAAAACACATGAAATACTCACATTACACAAAGATCAAATGAGTGGGGATGATTAAACCTATTTTCCTTTTGATTCAAACAAGTGGAGTGCTCTGTCCTTGGCCACACAGTTTAAAGAATGAAGCCAGGACTACATGCCAAACAGCATGACTCCTAGGGTAAAGTTCTTCCCACCCCATGAAGATGCCCTCACCCCTCAATTTCTCCTGACTGTTTCTTTAAATAGAAAGGTTTTGATGGAAACACTAGTGACGTATATGAATTTTGAAGCAGATATCCATTTTTAATATAGGAAGGAAGACATTAAGATGTCAAACTTGGGGCTGCTAAATGAACATCTGTAGCCCAAACATGGGGCACCAGGGCTGGGAGGCTCAGAGAAGTAATTGCCACAAAAAAGATGCACCAGGACATTGATTTCTTCTGCCTGTTTGCTTGATTTCCACTTTGAGCTTACTCAATTGGCTATTCCTCTGTTTTGCCACCTCAAGAACATGACCCCAGCTCATTTGAATGAAAATATGTTTGCCATTACCTCATTAATTTCTGAGACTTTGCATTATTTTTTACACCCACCTCCTTTCTTTTCTTCTCCCTCAAAATTCAGAGTATTGGTTGGAAAGAGGTAAATCAGGCACCATTTCTCCATGATGTGTCAGGACCTGAATCTGTCATTTGCGAGCCTGACCTCATAACTCAGCCAAGCCAAGCTGCAAGGCACCCTGGGAACCCATCACTGAAAGACTGCAGAGGGAGGAAGGCAAGGGCAGGAATAGCCAGCTGGTCAAGCAGCAGAGTGTCTCCTCAGCTCCCAGGAAATGGTGTCTAAGGGTGATGATGAACTGGGACTTCATCTGAGTCCAAAATAATGATGCTGCTGATGCAACAGCAGAACTTATTAAACACTTACTACTGCATATGCCACTATGAGGTAGACTTACAGAGAATAAGTTACTCTCCCATAATCACACAGCCAGTAAATGACAGAAATGGGATCCAATCCAAATATGTTTCATTCTAAAGCCCATGCTCTTCACCAACAAAGCCCAACTTGATTTAATTTATCCCCAAACATACCAACATCCATTTGTTAGTTCCCTTCCCAATTTAACTTTAAGCGTCTCACATACATACACTGTTTTTATCCTAACAACAAGTTGGTGAGGAACTGAGCTCAGAGAGGTTAATCCACCCACTGAAAGGCACCCAGTGTTTAAGAGCAGAGGGAGGGGCCTGACACAGGTCTTTCGGAGCATGACATGCATGTTCTGTCCACAAGGCCTGTTGCTGCCTTTCCCCCAGAGGTCCAGACTGAGGACGGGACAGAGTAGATAAAGACAGCAGTGTGAGAGGAGGCAGTGGGCAATATGGGGAATCTAGGGGCAGCAGTATGCTGGTCCCATATAATCAGGCCCGGGGGAGGGGCCCAGACAGAGGGTGGCAGACTCTCTGTACTCCAGCAAGACAATCCCAGAAGAAATGCCAGAGAGATCAATGAGAAGGCCAGTCATTTACACTGGGCACACACACAGTGTTTAGGGTACTCAGATAGGTACCCAGGCCTCACCCCAGGCTGTTTGGACACCAGGAGTCATAGCACTCTTCCAGGCCACAACTGCTACTTGGGGTGGGAGGAGAGGATGAGACGTGGCATTTGTGGAATAATGACTGTGGCCAAGCAGTGGGCTCTGTATGATGCCATCGTCAATTCTCACAGCAATTCTACAACATAGGTTTTGTTACTTCTCTCTCACGCTTTACCCTAAATTTCTCCTGCCTACCACAGTGCTTGGCACACACAAACAGAATAATAATGTGTGGAACTGACTAATTCATTTTCCATTCTGCTGGTCAGGGAGAAATTAATAGAGGCAGAGGCTATTAATAAAACATTACATTACCTCCAATGAGTGTGGAATAATTCTCTAAAATACTGACAATCAGTAACTTTTCTGGTAACCTAAAATTTCAGTCAACTTCTTGTGGGTGACAATGCTATGTTGTTTTATTTTGATGAGTTAAATTCAACAAGCATCGACTAATATACACCCTTAGCCAGGCATTGTTCTGGGGATAAAGAATGAAAGATGGCTCCTGCCCCTGAGTCACCTCCTGGGCAAGCTGGACTCGCAGAGGACAGGAACACCATTGTATGAGCAGTACTGTGACTGCCGAAGCACAGAAGCCATGGGAGGCCAGCCCAAAGGAGAGGCATAGGAGCAAGCCCAAGACCGGGCATGATGGTTGATGCCTGTAATCCTAGCACTTTGGTAGGCCAAGACGGGTGGATCACTTGAAGTCAAAAGTTCAAGACCAGCCTGGCCAATGGCGAAACCCCATCTCCGCTAAAAATACAAAAATTAGCTGGGTGTGGTAGCAGGCACCTGTAATACCAGCTACTTGGGAGGCTGAGGCAAGAGAATCACTTGAACCTGAGAGGCGAAGGCTGCAGTGAGCTGAGATCATATCACTGCACTCCAGCCTGGGCAACAGATTGAGGCTCTGTCTCAAAAAAAAAAAAAAAAAAAAAAAAGGAGTAGGCCAGAGAACGCTCTCTAGAGCTGCTGATGGTGGAAGGGAGATTGGATGCCCGAGTTGAGAAGGTCAAGTCAAGGAGGACATTCCAGGTAGAGACCTGCACAAGCAGACGCAGAGACACAGCAGAGTGGAGACCACATGCAGTCAGCCAGAGCTCGCTGTACTTGATGGCTGTCTCTTCCACAAAGTGGGAATTCCTTTTTTACCGACTATGAAACTAATACAATAATGTTGGGTGAAAGAAGCCAGACACAAAAAAAATACACACGGCATGATTCCACGTACATACAGTATATAAAGTTCAAAGGTAGGTGAACCTAATCCATGCAGTTAGAAGACAGCATTGTAGCTACCTTGGTCAGGTGCTGACTGGCAGAGGGTAGGATAGGGCTTCAAGGGTGCCAGAAAACCTTTACTTCTTCATATGGGTGCTGGAAACATGGTTGTGTCCCTTGGAAAAATTCATCAAGTTCCATAGATAGGACTTGTGCACTTTTTCATATGTATGTGCTATACTTCAATTTACATCAATGAAGGAACACAAAGTTATTGAAAAATAGGCAGTGTAGATAAAGATGAGGTAGAAAATATAATTCCACTACCCAGGAGTAAGAAAGGGAAATTTTGCTCCCTGCACTTTCTCAGTCTGGCCCAAAGGAAGGTGATGAGAACTGGCATCTAGGTGTTTATGATGTGCCCCAGAATCACTTCTCTCATAAAGAGGACACTCAGCGTTTTCAGAGTGAGGACAGATTCTTTCTGATTGATTCTCTCACTCTGGGTCCTGTCCTAACTGATCATTGTATTAACCTTATAATAAGGCAGTTGTGCATTTTACATGGAATTTTAGGCTCTGCTTGAATCCTTGTGGTGGTGTTTTACCATGTATCTAGATGCTGTGTTTTCACTGCTTGATTGCCCTTACTATTATTATCTACAGCTGGTGCCATGTCACTACCATGAACCTCTCAGTGGCCAGGAAACCAAATTCCACTTCTAGACCCCGATGCAGTTACCTAGGAGGGAAAGGACTACCATACATTGAACTTCTACCATATGCCAGGAGCTTACATGGGTTATCTTCCTTCATCACCAACTCCGCACAGCTATGTAAATCTCAGTACACCTTTTTATGAGCAAGAAAAAACTGAGGTTGACAGAAGTGGAGTAACTTATCCAAGGTCACATAGCCAGAATTGGAAACTTAAAAGCCCAAGCTTTTCCTATTGACCCTCACTTAACACTTTCATGAGCACTTACCCTGAGCACAACACATTTAGGGTGATTTCCAGCTATTCCTCCATTTCTCCTGGTATTCTTTGCTAGGGTCACGGAATGCATGGGTATTTCAGAGAGGGCTAGAAATCTCTGACCACTCTCTCAGATAATTCAATTTGTCACTCTATTAAAAAGAAAAAAAGATAAAATAATAATACTACTGCTGGCCATGTCCTAGAGGGGAGGAACCCACCGGAGTCTTTCCAATGAGCAGATAATATATTTAAATGCAGTCCATCAGTCAGTAATCTGCTGCCACCCCATCCTCGGAGAGCTGCTTTATTGAACACTGTAATTGCCTGGATGGTGTTATTCATTTCTGTAGCTGTTGATATTAATTAAATATTTTTGTCGAAAGCTCCCCATGACATTTCTTGCTGCATTCTTGAATATCTGATAAGATATACAGTCAGTACACTGGTACCCGCTGCATTTGGCTGATAGTCTTGTCCTAGTTTCTAACCCTCAAAACGCTAAAGAAATGACACGGTTTTAGTGGAATGAGGACTTCTATTGTTACAGAGTTTGGGGGAGTAGGGGGAGTCCACAAGTCTTAGTGAAATAGATGCAAATGTCACGTTTTAGAGCTCATTGTACTGGCAGAAGCTGGAAATTGGCCTAGACCCTTATTCAAAGGTTTAGCTCGTTCCTTAGGTCAAAGAAAGTTCAGTTGCACTGGTTCCTACAATCCCAACCCCAGTAGAAAGAGGCATTTAGGCATTCATTCATTAGTATTTTACAAGTATCTCTGGAGGTCCTACAATGTGCCAGGCCCTGTGCTAAGTGCTGAAAACACAGAATTTAAATAATACAAATACAATATAAAATAAACCAAAGAGGTCTCTCTCCTTATAAAAGCGTAGCCTGTTGGGGAACAGAGGCAAGGCTACTATAGCAGAAGGCACACTTTAATTCCAGGTGTGAACTAACAGTAGGAACAGCTGAGGCTGCAAGGCCTCTGACTATTAAGTCTGGCAGCAAAAGGCGGAGGACAAAGGGAGTAAAGTGTACATAGAGCAAGGTAACCCAGCTGAGACAGAGATGAGATGCTGAGTTTGTCTATATGAGGAACTGAAGCCTGCAGAATCCTGTGGTCCTGCATTGATCTGGATGACATGTATGAGGACTTTTATTTTACTTTTTCCTTGAAAGAGGAAAGAATCTGAGATCAGAGACCTTGAAGGAAGGAGGAGGACAACAAAGGAAGAGCATGGCATCTGCAACCTCCCTCTTCCACTTCATTTCTGGTCTGAGTTGGAGGCTGTATGAGCAGAGAAGTGAGGTCAGAAGCTGAAGCCGTTGTGTTTGTAAGAGACTCAGAGCACAGGCCAAGCTGCTGTGAGGCCTAGATGCACAGAGCACTTCTGGGAGTTGGGGAACAAGGCTTAGCTCCTTCACTGATCCCAAGCATGCTCCAGTATCCTAGGACCAGCAGCTTTGGGGCATGGGGAGTAAGCATCTCTGTGTGGACACTGGCCTACTTATGTTGGGCATTATTCGGATGGAATAGACAGGCACATTCAGAGGGCTTCAGGATAGCATCCAACACTGGGGGCGGACAGGATGTGGGTAGCGGACTGACTGGTTTGATGAGAATAGATGAGCATACACCTGGAGATCCTTGTGGGTGGGGACAACTCTAAAGGGTGATGGAATTCTTAGGAGGAAGGAGCTTTCAGCTAGAAAAATTTGAAAGCAACTATTAACAAGTGAAGCAGACTTGTAATGTTTGGATTGTTTAGTGATTAAAAAAAAAGAAAGAAGAGAGGAAGAAAGAAGGATGAGACCATTGGCACCTGGAGAGAGGATGTCAGAATTACCGGAGCAGAGCAGTGTGGTACAGCCGAAAGAACACTGACGGTTAGGAGACCTTGTGCTGGTCCTTGCTTTGCTGATAACTGTCTGTGTTTTGCTGAGCAAGTTACCACCCCTCTCTGGGCCTCAGTTTCCTCAACTGCAAATGAAAGGCAAAGACAGTAGTTTCCAGCTCCCCCAGGTACATGATTTCAGATGAGCTACTTATAGGGTACTCAAGTTTTTAAATGCAGGAACCTCCTAATATCAGGTGAGGGTTACACATGAAAATATAACAAAGTGAGAGAAGAGCAAAAAGTTGAGGTTCTCATAGCAACCAGAATTCATAGCAGCTGTGCATTGTTAAAGGGACTTCTCCTGACAGACTGATGAATAATCCCAAAGTCTACCTATTGTGCAGGAATTGCCAGGGACTCTTTTGGGGAGAAAGTGGGGCACAAAGGTAACACTAGCCAACCATTTTATGAGATTTTTAATCAATGCAAAAAAATTTGGCAACATTTTCAATGAAAGTGTGCAAATAAAAATGCATCTATATTTAATGAGGCACTCTATTTATTCAATAATAAATGCCAGTTGGTTATTAATAAAATATTGCTGTCATTAATCCTCAATAAATACAGTTAGAGTAATTAGTATTAAAGTGACACAGAATACTTCATAATGCAAAGGTAATTTTCTCAACGTTAATGGATTATTCAAACAAACCTTTACTCACAGCTATCAAGATCAAGACCCTCTAGGGAAAAAGGACTAGCGAGTTACAGGGTAACCTTGAAAACTTTGAAAGTTTAAAGACTTGAAAATGAGGCCAGCAGGGGTCTTTAAATTGCTATTGAGAGTCTCAGGTTTCTCAGAAAAAAAAAAAGGTACAGAAGCCCCACAGACCAAGCACATACATGGATCCAGGATAGAATCTAAATTCTACTAAATTTATTAAGTTGTGTGACCTTGGCAAAGTCATTGAGCTTCTTTGCACCCTAGTTGCTTCATTTGGAAAATGAGGATAGTCTGGGCGCGGTGGCTCATTCCTGTAATCCCAGCACTTTGGAAGACCGAGGCGGGCGGATCACTTGAGGCCAGGAGTTTGAGATCAGCCTGGCCAACATGGTGAAACCCCGTCTCTACTAAAAATACAAAAATTAGCTAGGCATGGTGGCGGGTGCCTGTAATCTCAGCTCCTCAGGAGGCTGAGGCAGGAGAATCTCTGGAACCCGGGAGGCAGAGGAGGCAATGAGCTGAGATCGTGCCATTGGACTCCAGCCTGGGCCACAGAGTGAGACTTTGTCTCAAAAAAAGAAAAATAAGGATAATGATCTTCCCCATTCAGAATTGTGATGAGAATTAAATGAGATTATGTATTTTTCAAAAACTTAGCACTATACATAGTAGAAGTTTCGAAAATAACAATTCAGACTAAATCCCATAAGTAACAAGGTAGCAAGGTAGTGTAGCAAAAGAGATCATAAATCCTGTTTTCTGAGGATCCCAAATTTTGGAAATTTGCCCTCATTTGCTGGGTTGAAATTCACGTTCTTTATCTTTTCTCAAAATTATGACTATCATTCATGAGCCCTTGCTTTGATCCTTTCTGGTTTATCTAAGCTGTTTTTATAGATGTCAAATCACTTTGACAGCATCTTCCGACTGTGACAGAAATAATGCAGAAGGGTGGAAAAGTGTAACTCTGAGAATAGGGAAAATTGCATCCCCCCTTCTAGCTCTGCATAGATGTCAGACAATCATGTAACTCACTGGGCTGTGGTCTTATCAAATGTTGGGACAAATTATTTTTATAAGTCTCTCAGATTTTAGCATGTAATTATTTTATGACTCTTCCCTTAAATTGTGGATTCTTAGAATTTTCTCTTCCTTAGTGATTCGTTTTAATGCCAGGCCACTCTTAGCATTTGGGGGGTCTGTTGGTGAGCCTGGAGAGTGTAAAGTATTGTTAGAGTAGGTAGTTAGGCATGAGCAGAGCAGGATAGAGATCCGCCTCCACCCCACTGCCAACCAGGAATGTCAGAAAACCATCAGGTGATGGTCAGGTAGTTGTTAAACTATCTTTCTCAAATAATAAGTGGTTGCAGTCAGCACCAGGGAAAGGCCATCTCCCAGTACATAAAAAAACACCTGAATCTGGTGATTAGCAGCTTCCCAACTTATTGGGAAGCTCGGCAAGTGGGCACCAGCATGTTCACTAAGAGGTAAAATGGAGGAGTTTAACTAGTATATGATCTTTCTCTATGAACACTCGACTGGTAAGGGAAGAAAGCCTCCAGTGAGCACATGTACAATTTAAGTAAAACACTGTGCATGCAGGCCCTCTCAAGTGCTGGAAGTGCTGGCAGGCCACTGCACATGCAGAAAGCCCACATATAAAACCCCAAGTCAAAGATCTAACTGTGCACTTGAATCTCTCAAGTTGCCTGCTTGGCCCTCTTCCAAGTGTACTTTACTTCCTTTCATTCCTGCTCTAAAACTTTTTAATAAACTTTCACTCCTGCTCTTAAACTTGTCTTGGTCCCTCCCTCTGCCTTATAGCCCCTCAGTTGAATTCCTTCTTCCAAGGAGGCAAGGTTTGAGGTTGCTGCAGACTCCTACAGATTTGCCACCACTAACAGCATCCGATTTGGGGAGGATACCCCTAGTGATTAGCATAGTGCAACTCCCCTTAGGGAAATATTGCTGAACTGGGGGTGAAGACTAGGGAGAATAGAAGTGGGGTCTGAGGGGAGAAGGAGAAATTTTTATGCAGTAGAAGAATCTGAGACAGCACTGACCAAATCCAGAATCAGAATCATTTAGTTTCCAGATAACAACCTCGTTGCTGCTGAAAGGTGAAGTTCATTGGTCCCCAATTTGATCTAATGACTACAAGTGTATTCTGTGTGCCAGCCACTATACTAGATAGGAGTAACACAGAGCTGAATATGCAGTTTCTCCCCTCAAGAACCTTGCACATGAACAAATCACTGTATTAAATATGATCAGTGCCAGAAGAGAAACAAAATAGTATCTTTAGAAAACCTCTATTCTGCCTGTCTTCTAAAGAATAAAGGTAGGAGGGGAATGAAAGCCCTTCATAAACTCCTCAGAAAGCTCTTGTCTGTTTTGATCTGCTCCTTTGCAAGTTCTCCCTGGTA
The DNA here is from genome assembly GCF_000001405.40 of Homo sapiens. Taxonomy (NCBI): domain Eukaryota; kingdom Metazoa; phylum Chordata; class Mammalia; order Primates; family Hominidae; genus Homo; species Homo sapiens. The sequence continues at coordinate 57,998,114 of NC_000001.11, forward strand.
CTTCTAGAAATTCTGTGTCCTGCCAGAGACAATGTAGTATAAACACACGTAGGTATAGGACAGTGTAGGCCCTGGAATAGTCTGGGTCTGTATCTCGATTCTGCCATTGCCTAGCCTTGTGCATGACCTTGAACAAGTTATTTAACACCAAGTGCCTCAGCTCCCTCAGCTGTAAGCTGGGATAATAATAGTGCTTCCTCACTAGATATTTGTAAATTTCAAATGATGTCACTGGGTAATCACTTAACCTCTGAGTCCTCATCTTTTTTTTCTCTCTTTTTTTTTTTTTTTTTTTGAGACAGATTCTTGCAATGGTGCGATCTCAGCTCAACCTCTGCTTCCTGGGTTCAAGTGATTCTCCTGCCCCAGCCTCTTGAGTAGCTGGGACTACAGGCGCACACCACCACACCCAGCTAATTTTTGTATCTTTAGTAGAGACGGGGTTTCACCATGTTGGCCAGGCTGGTCTCAAACTTCCGACCTCAGGTGATCCACCTGCCTTGGTCTCCCAAAGTGCTGGGATTACAGGCATGAGCCTCACTCCCAGTTTTAATGTGACAAACAGAGATAAGACTTTCTAGAGTAGTTTGAGGAATTAACGTACACATGTATATAATTTAGCATATTGCCTGGCACATAGTAGATGTATGAAAAATGCAAAGTCCTTTCAGCTAGGGAGAGAATATTAGGATTTTTAGGCAACAGTATCCACAGATACTCTTTCTTGTGGACATTAGTAACAGAGTTTGCACTTGTTCTTATTGCCAAGTATGTACATGGATTATCAATTTTAGATTTCCAGGATCTCAGGTGCAATGCTGGCTCTCCATTTATCTTCCTGCAGGGAATTGGTCCCACTGAGAGGATTTATTAATAAGCACATGTACTTTGTTACTGAAAAGCCACTGAACCTCTTCTTTAAAAATGGGAGCATTTGTGAGCTGCTGTGAATATATCCATATACATTTTTAATCCTCGCTGTTCCTGCCAAAGACTAACCTTCCTTTAAGAGGACTTTCTTTATGAGCTACCACTTATTAATCTGCTATCATGGGCCAGGGTCCTATGCTAAGTATCTTAAATACATCGTTTCTCATAACCTGTAGAACAAGCCAGAGAAGGGAGTCTTATGAACTGTACAGTTTGGTGAAGGTACTGAAGATCAGCCAGGTTAGGGGCAGGGCAGTGGTTCTCGAAGTGTGTCCTGGACCAGCAGCATCAGCAGCTTGTTAGGAATGCACATTCTCAGGTCCCCATTCCAAATCGATTGCCTCAAAATCTCCAGGGGTAGGATCAGCACTTTGTGTTTTAACAAGCACTACAGGAGATTCTGAACCCTCTGTAAATTTGAGGGATTTCCCTAGGATCCCATAGCCAGGAAATAGTGGGGTGGGATTGGAGCTTGGGTCTGAGGACAGACTAGAGCCTCTCTCAACCAAGAGCAATTCTGCCCCCAGCAGACACTTGGTAATGTCTAGAGATATTTTTGTTTATCACAACTGAGGTGGGGAGAGTTGCTACTGGCATCCAGTGAGTAAAGGCCAGAGATGCTACTAAGATCTCACAATGCACTGGACGGCCCCCAGGACAAAGAATTTTCCAGCCCAAATGTCAGTAGTGCTGAGGTTTAAGAAACCCTGGTCTACAGCTTTATGCTGCCTTATAAAAAAGACAGTTAAAAGCAGGGAGGGATGAGGGAGGAAGAGAGGGAGAGAGAGAAACAGAGAAAGACAAAAGAGGGAAGAAATGAAGGGAGAGAAAGAAAGAAGAGAAGGAAGAAAGAAAAGGAGTTAAAGGAAGAAAAGAAGGAAAAGAAGGAAGGAGGAAGAGAGAGAAGAAAGGGAGGAAAGGGGAGTGGGGAGGAGGGAGAGAGAAAAGAGAAGAAAGAAAGGGAGGAAGAGAGGGAGGGAGAAAGGGAGGGAGGAAAGGAGTGAGAAATGGAGGGAGGGAGGGAGGAGGCTAAATGGCTGATTTGGAAACAGTCAGTGGGAAGGTCTGTCCTGCCCTTGAAGAGCAGGAAACTGGAAATCAAAATGGCCCTTTAAAAATAATTGTGCTAGAGCCTGGGAGCTACATAGAATGGAAATGAAATAAGTCTTCAGTGTATCATACTTAGTGCAACTTTTGGATGTGAAATGTACTTACAAAGTAATGTGGCATTTCAAAAGCATGTTGTCCTCTGATAAGCCAGGGTTTGGAACCAGAAAGAAAATATCTGTATGGACAATTACCAGACTGTAACAGCCGATGAATGTGATTTGTGACTTGCAGCTGCTGTATGTGTTTTGGCACATAAACACATAGACATTGGTCATCTTTTCAAATGCTTTTAATATTTTCTCCAGCATGAGCTCCAGCTCTGCTGTCTCTTGGTCTCCTCTCTCTGCCTGCTCTATCTCCCACTTAGTCTCTTTTCCCCCTCAATTATTCTCTCTTCTCCTCTTTTTTGCCTTTTTTTTTTTTTTTTTTTTTTTTGAGACAGAGTCTCGCTCTGTCAGCCAGGCTGGAGTGCAATGGGGCATTCTTGGCTCACTGCAATCTCCACCTCATGGGTTCAAGTGATTCTTGTGCCTCAGCCTCCTGAGTAGGTAGGATTACAGGCATGTGCCACTGCACCCAGCTAATCCTTGTATTTTTAGTAGGGTCGGGGTTTCACCATGCTGGCCAGGCTGGTCTCAAACTCCTGACCTCAAGTGATCAGCCCACCTTGGCCTCCCAAAGTGCTGGGATTACAGGTACGAGCCACCACACCCAGCCTTTTTTGCCTTCTAATCTTCCACATTTCTCTCTTATCTTCCTGTCTCCTGTCAATCTCTTTCTCTTCCATCTTCCCTTTCTCTCAAATTTGCTCTCATCATCTTCCCTTGTTCTCCCTACCTACCCTTTCTTCTCTCTTAACTTCTTAATTTTCCATTTTACTTTTCTTCACTTTTTTCTAAATCATGCTTTTTTCCCCTCATAATCCCTTCCTCTCCTTCCCCTTCTCTTTGTTTTTGTTTTCTCAATTTTCTCCATTTTCTCTCCTTGCACCCCCAATTTTCCCATCCTTTCTCTTGCCCCTCACTTGCTCCATCTCTCTCCTCCCTACTTTTTTTCTGGTTCAGGAAAGCCTTAGTCAGCCCATCAACTTCTAGTCAAAGGGCTCTTTTTTGTTTGTTTGTTTGTTTTGAGATGGAGTCTCACTCTGTCACCCAGGCTGGAGTGCAGTGGTTCAATCTCAGCTCACTGTAATCTCCACCTCCCGGGTTCAAGCAATTCTCATGCCTCAACCTCCTGAGTTGCTGGGATTACAGGCATGTTCCACCATGGCTAATTTTTGTATTTTTACTGGAGATGGGGTTTCACCATGTTGGCCAGGCTGGTCTCAAACTCCTGACCTTAGGTGATCTGCCTGCCTCGGCCTCCCAAGGTGCTGGGATTACAGGCACGAGCCACCACACCCAGCTGAAAAGGCCCTTTTTCTGAACCACACATCTCCTGCATTCTCAGCAGGTGAGGAAGTAAGCTTTAGGAAAGGTCTCATTGTCACTTGGGGCATGGGGGTAAGGATTAAAAAGACCACAGATTATCCCTCTGCTGTCTGGGAGTACTATGGATCCAGTTTCTGACTGTGGTAGGCAGAATAATGGTCCCCAAAGATGTCAGGTCTTCATCTCTAAAACCTGAAAATGTTATCTTTTTAGGAAAAAGAGTCTTTGCTGATATCAGTACATTAAGGATGTTGAGATGGGGAAATTACCCTGGATTATCCAGGTCAACCCTAAATGCAATTGCAGTCTCTTTATAAAAGGCAAAGGAGATTTCACACATACAGAAAGGAAAAGGTGGTATAAAGATGTAGGCAGAGGTTGTAACGATGTGGTCACAAGCCCCAAAATATTGGCAACCAGAAGCTGCAAAGGGCAAGAACAGATTCTCCTCCAAATTTTATAGTAGGAACTGGCCCTCCCAACACATTAATTCTAGCCCTGTGATACTGATTTTGGACTTTTGGCCACCAGAATTGCAAAAAAATAAGCTTTTGTTGCTTTAAGTCACCAGGTTTGTGGTTATCTGTTAGAGGAGCCACAGGCAACTGATACACTGATCTTGAGCTGTATCCACAATATTAAGTTCAGAGTTTTTGGACGGTCCCTCTGTTTGGTTAGTCTGTGACCCCTTCCTTAACTGATGAATTGGCAGGGCTCTGTGTTATCATATCAGAAGATTTTTAATTGTTTGTTTTTCTTTAAACTAGTGAGTATTTAGCATATTTTGGTATCTTTAGGCTATGAGTTAATTCTATAGTTCTTAAAGATAATACATTGTTCCATCTGCCCATATTCTTCCACTTTATTCATACATATCCATCAGCCTTACAATCCACATTCTTTTCTTTTCTGGACTACTAGGATGTTAGAAGAAAAATACAGGTTCTGGCTTATGGCTCTTTATCTGTGAGGTTCTGTACATTGATCACACTTCTGAGTCATTTTCTATAATGCAAAGATAACAGTTTCCCTTTAGTTACCTATAACAAAGAAATCAGCAGATACAAGCAGTTAACACAAGGTGTATATATATATATAGAGAGAGAGACAGAGAGAGAGAGAAGAATCCACAACATTCTAAATAAACTAATGACTTGATAAAGCCATTTTAGAGAGCATATGTCATAAATAAACAAGCAAATAAATACGAAAACAACAAGCAGTTTGAATCCAGGCAGACCTGGGTTTGAAACTTAGCTCAACCATTTAGTAGTCTTCTAAATTTAGGCTAGTTATTTATCTTTTGAGTCCTTTTTTTAAAATCTGTAATATAAGGGTGATACTATCTGTTATACAGGTTTATTATTATAAAGATTAATTAAAATGTATGGAGGAGCTCATGACAATGTCTAGTATATAATGTTATTGTTATGAATATGAATATCATTAATAAAGACTATCATATTAATGTTCATTTTATTATTTGTGTGTTCATGGAAAAATCACTTAAGTTCTTAAGCTTCAAGTGCCTGGTCTATGAAACAGGGGTAACTGCCCTTCCCTCAATGGGTAAATGTAAGGATTTGATGAAATCACACGTGACAATGGATGGCCCAGTCACCAGGGCATAGTAGGAACTCAAAATAAGCCCTTTCTTTTTCAGGCTATTGAGTGTATTGTGCTCCTCTCCGCTTCAATGACAAAGAAACCTCAAAGAAGAAACCCGATTTTGATGGCTTCTCTTTACTGACATGTTTTAAAATAGATGGCCCTCAATTTTATGGAAATCCAACTGACACTACTTAAAATTTGCATTGTAGATGGGAGAGACTTCATTTTACCAGACAATTCTTCAGTTAGCCAAAGTGCTCTAGGATTTCTTTAAAAATACAATTCCCTGCATTCTTCTGAAATAGAATTCAAATGAGGAAATTGTCATTAACCCAGCTTGTTAGGACCCCTTTATTACATAGATTCCACCTGTGTGGGTCAGGACTGTTCTGCTCTTTGTGTGCTGACTTCAGTATTCAGTCTGCCTGTCCTGCACTCCGGGGTCCACATCAATGCCTTCAACTTAGATTGAAAGTCCACTGGGTCATTGCTTTTTGACTGGCATCTGTGGATGCTTCCCGGGCAAGGTGGCCTTGTGGGAAATATTGTTGGTCATCACTGTCAGATGACTGCTCTGAGCACCTGTTGGCCTTGAAGTTTACAAACAGAAAACAGAAACTGACACGGCCCCTTCTCAGAGTAGCTGTCCAGTTTTGCTCTGCCTGGTTCTAAGTCCAGAATCCATCTCTCTTTTATGCCAGCCTTTGCCTTCCTCAGCCACCCCCAGCCGAAGGCTTCAGGACGGGAAGTGGGGGTCAGAATACAAGGGAAATATATTAGCATACGTTACTTGTTCCAGACCTAGTGCTAGGCCATCCGGAACTCTGCTTTTGAGGCTGTGAGATAACGGACTAATGCCAAGGCACAGGATCTACAATACAGAATCAGAACCAAGGAGCTCAGAGAAATAGGCAGAGGTGACCAGAAGTAACACCTCACACTGCAGAGTGAGTCACAGTTTTCTGAAAGGCTCTCTCACTTACACTCTTACATTTATTCTTCACAGCCACCCCAGAAGGGTCAGTAGTAATACACATTATTATGCACATGTTATACAAATATATATTTTCCATTTGCAGAAATTGAGGCTAAGTGCCCTGGCTGAGGTCACGCAGCTAGTTGGTGGCAGAGCTATTTAAATGCAGCTCTGATTTCAAGGCAGGCCAGGGGTGGAGATGTTGAGCCACCTGCCATTTGAAGCACTTAGTTTACCTGAAAATCTTGAACCTCAGTCCATGGGCCAGAGAAAGGATGGAGGGAAGCTGTGGGAACACAAGAATGGGGAGCAGGACCTCAGTAGCTTATGGGGCATTTATTAATAGGGTTGAGGATCTTGGAGAAAGTGTAATGGGGAAAGCAAAGGAATGGACACAGCTCCTCCTAGCCAAGTGGTGTTGCTTAACCTCTGAGCCTCAGTTTCTCCATCTGTGAATGCATAGAATGTCCTTGGTAGAGTTGTTGTAAGATTGAATGAAATTATCCTGAGAAAACTGTTTAAATCGTGCCTGAAGTACAGTGAACAACCCAAACACACGCACGTGCCCTGTTTTCTCATGATCATTGCATGACGTGTTTGTGAGGAGGAAAGTGGCAGCCAATGCCTACCACAGAGAGGCACTCAACACAGGACTCTTCAAAAAAGCCACATGTATTTCAGACCTAAAGCCAGCTTCCTGAAGAGTGGAAAACAAACACATTCACACTGACTCCACTTTTCTTTTTCTCTAATACAGTTACACTTCTTCACATCTATAATAAAATTTATATTAAAACCTCTCAGCTACTAGTAAGCCTTTTGCTACAAGGAATTGACCCTGTTTTCCAGATAAGAAAACAGAGTCTTAAAAAATGAAACTAGAGTGAGCTTGGGTGTCCCTCTTTTTATTGATAACTTCACTGTAGTGAAGTTTACATATCATAAAATTCACCCATTTCAATTGTATAATTCAATGATTTTTAGCAAATTTTCCCAGGTGTGTAACCATCACCATAAATCATTTTCACACATTTTCATCCCTCCAATAAAATCTCTCATGCCCATGTGCTTTTAACCTGCTAGGGATGATACAGCTTTGGAAGGGCTGGGGGAAAGAGGAGGCACTCCACACAGGACAGAAATGCATGAGTCTGCCCAAATATCTAGGCCAGAATTTGAGACTGGGAGCAGAGGGCTGGTGTCTAGGGGCAGAGATGATCATTGTCATTCAGAACACATGAGGCTCCTTCCTTTACAGCACTGAGAGCCTCACAAGTGTGTGGCCAGAGGACACTGCAATTCTGTTACAACTGCAACTTTAAGGGAAGCTGTTTTGAAGAGGAATCAGTAAACATGCTATATCCTCGTGGGGATCCTCAGTCCTGATACCCAGACAGCTGGCTGTGGCCAGGAGGGGCTCTGTGCGCCTGCCTTGGTTAAAAAAAAAAAAAAAAAAGGCAGTGCCTCAAGATGCAAGACTAGATAAGAATACTGAACAAGACATAAATAGCAAGATCTTTTTTGATCCTTCAGGTCACAGGAGCTTAACTGCACTCCAGTCAAATTGGTTAATTAATAATAATAATAGTGATGATGACAATAGCTCCCATTGTTTAAAAATTAATTTGAGGCAAGGCTTTGTGCTAAGAAATATATGTCCCATTCATTATGATATTTAATTCTTACAACAACTCTTTAAGGCAGGTACAATTATTGTTCCTCCTTTTTCCAAAAGGAAACTAAGGCTCAGAGAGGTTAAGAGACCCGCCCAAGGACATACAATAAGCAGATTTTAAGCAGAATTTGAAACCAAGGCTGTTTGGTTGGCCTGTGCTTTCCCCAATTAACACAGCAGTGGCAAAATAGCACTACTATTGATTGATGTGTGACCCCATCTATTTTTTCACTCAACTTCTCTGGGAGTCCCACGAAGGCTTGGGGCCATGTCCATTTCTGTTCACTGTTGAATCTTAGGCATCTAGTTCAGTGCCTGGCATCCAGAGGTAGTCAATGAATATTTATCAATTTAACATTGTTGAGACTCTATCATGTGAGATAAAAAGACACTAGAATATCCTGCCTTTATTACTTAGAGATTGAGTGACTGGCAAGTTACTTCTTTGTGCCTCAGTTTCCTCATGGGTAAAAGCAGAAGGGAATAGAATCATTAATCTTAGAGAATTGTTGAGAGGATTAAATATGCTTGACATCTGCCTCCTATAAAGTCAGGACTCAATAGCTGCAAACTCTTCCCAGTATTAGTAATAATATACTACTGGTAAGTATTGCAGAAATAAGGATATTTAGGATCACAAAGATGAATCACTGTAGCATAGGTCCAGAGATAAGAAAGTGGCTAAGGCAAGGCATGAGGTCCTGTCTTTGCACTACAAGGATTTTTCTTGACTTTTCAATGTTCAATAAATGTTTGTTGACTGAAAAATATGCTGACTCAGAGCCAGAAGAGAAGGAACTGGTGTAAGCCAGAGGAGACCTATCATCAGCCTACAAGACAGGGCACCGCCTTCCTGCCCAGTGAATTCTGAACCTGCAAGAAGGATACTCTGACCCACTGAATGATTCCCTCTCTCGCAAGCACCTCCTCTCTGCCTCCCGTCCCTCAGGAATGCTCCTGTGAAGGTGAAACATGTGGATTCTGAAAGGGAACAGTGAATAGTTGCTCTTGTGCATTGTTATGCAAATGCTACACAAATTGGAGTCTTAAATCTGGCCTTAATGATGCCATTCTGCTTTGTCTTCCAGCTTCCCTGACACTCATTCTGAGATGCACCGTACAGATGTTAGTTTATTATGTACACCAATAACTCATTCTACATCTCAGTGAGGTGGGCTGTTAGCAGCCACCATCACAGCTCTGATAGTGATGGAATGCACCCCCATGAAAAATGTGTGATTTAAGCTCTCTGCTGCCCACAATTCAAGCGCTTTCTTTTATCAGGGCCCAAATGGCAGCTAATCGAGTTACTGGCAAATCCAGAAACAACACAGATCCCACAAAGAGGCTGATTAAAGCTTACTTGAAATTTGGAAAATAATAATATTTAAAAATGATAACATTAAAAAAAAAATCTCAAGACGCACAAAGAAAACCAATTTAGTTTGAGCCAATCCCTCATCCTCAGAAGGATTAGAAGAAAGGTTCTGCTTTATGCTAAATGTGGAGACGGCTTTTGCAGCCAAAACATATAACATCCTGCTAATTATTCTTTCAAGCTTCAACATGTACTTTATTAATCTTTTTTTCCCACTTTAACAGCCACAGATGTAGACTTAATTCAGTGTGTAAGCAATAGAATTTGTTTAAGTTCACCATGTCAGCTGCATCTTTGGTGTCTGCCTCACAAGGGCGGGCAACATTGGCAGGGCTCAGAGATGGAAGTCATGCCAATCATGTTTGGCATCATCCTTCCAGGAGATAACCTGTCTTTAGCATATCCCAGCCAGTGTACTCAAGGCAGAACAGTGTGGTCTCTTTTGAGAGTTGCTCAAAAGAAAGAGACAGCTGAAGGAGGACTAAAAGCAGTGATGATAAATAACTCCCTCTCCTACCTAAGGGTCTGGACGCTGTTCACTCCTCCCAATGGATCTAAATGAAAAATAGGAAAATAGACAGTGCAAAAAAATACTAATGACATAGAAACTAAACACTGAAAGTTCAGCTTTATTTTATATTTGGGGGCCATATTTTATTCTTTCACATGTCTGGCTATCCATTTGTTAATACATAATTAAATAAATTATATTACTTTATAATACCTACATAGTATAGAGAATCTTCTACGTGTCAAGCACTGTGTATGGGACTTAGGCATGTGGCATACAAATATTCTACTCTTCAAGAGAGGGAAGAAGAGAAAAAGAATCACTATGCATGGAATACCTACTATTACTGTTTGTCAGACACTGTGTAGAGAACTCACAATAATAACCTCTATACCCTGAGAGATAGAGATTACTTCCATTTATAGATAAGAAATCTGAAGTTCAGAGAGTTTGAGTAACTTGCCCAAGATCATACAGTTAGGAAATATTGGAGCTGGGATTCAAATCCAGAACCACCACACTCCTAATTCCCGGTTTTATCCCCTTCCAAACAGTTAAGGTGTATGGATCTTGTGGTAAATAATTATAATATAGGGTAAAGGTAAAAATGGGCCAAAACACAACAACATAAAACACTATGAAAACTTAGAGGAAAGCGAGAATGTGACCAGCTGGGAAGAGTTAAGTAAGGATCCCTAAAGAAGGAGGCAGGTGACCTAGGTTTTAAAGGGTAAGTTAGGTATATAGCAATTAACATTAAAAAGGACATTTATAGGACAGAGAACAGCCTGAACAAAGATTAAAAAGCTGGAAATCATGGATAAAGATCAGGGAGCTCAATCATAGCGGTTCGGTGTGTGAATAAAGCTAGATAAAAACAAGGTTAGGAATATAGTGTGGGATTAGATTGCAGAACTTCTGATGCTACATAAAGCATCTTTCATGAAAAATTGTAAGAAAATTGATTCCATCTTCCACCTATGAAAGACTTAGAGAAATGTTTAGTTTCATGCCAATCCAAGACATCAGTTCAGTTAAAACACAAAACCTCTTACTGAATATGTCCAAGTTCCAGCAGGGCATTTGAGATCAGAAGGTTCAAGTTTAAGTTCCAATTCTTCTACTCATTGACTCAACAACCCTGAGCACCTTATTTCATTACAGCCATGTTCTGGTGCTTGCTCATTTTCATTTTCTACAAGACTCACTACCATATGTATTGGTCTGGTCACGTTAAGCATCATGTGTCAATCATAGCAGGACAGTTAGTGGAAACATTTAAATAATGTCTATTATGTGCTTATTTATCCACACATATTCCAGGAAATGTGCATACACACCTACTAATGTAAGCTAGGCCCAAAAATTTACAAAAATATTCTTTAATTTCAAGCCTAGAACAACTCTAAAAGGTATATAGCATTACCCCACTCTACAGATGAGGACACTTGATGTCTCAAGAATTTGACCAAGTCCAGGATCATATTCCTAGAAAGTGGAAGAATCCAGTCCTTGTAAACCTAGTGCTCTTTCCACTATATTACTATTGCCTCACGCTAACCATTTCAGTGAGTGGTTAATCTCTACACTGTGGAACCCATCAGAAGTGTCCAGATAAACAATGAACAATGTTCAAACTTCATTTTTGCTGTATGCTACATATTGACAAAGGAAAACTGAAATAAGGGGGCACTGTGTAAGGTATAGCTTGCTGGGAATCATATATTATTGGGACTCATTCTACCTATTTTATAGTATATGATTGCTTTTAGGATATAGGGTTAATAGAGAGATAAAAGGAGACCATGCATGTAAAGATCTTTTGATAATATCAAGTATTGTAAGAAAAAGGCTCTGCTCTTCTTCCAGTTTAAGAAGAACTTAAGAAAATGTGTATAAAATAGTTGTTTGTACACTTGTTCTTTATTTCCCACCACTATAATAGAAACCATCTGAAAGCAAGGTGTGTGTTCTACTTATCTCTGACACCACCATAGTGGAATATTTCCAGGAAACTCAAGGTTTAGTGAATTAAACTATCTTTCCTTATATGATATTTCCAGGAAACTCAAGGTTTAGTGAATTAAACTATCTTGCCTTATGTCTGATAATGATGATGATAACTCATCATTGTCGTCACTGGGATTTGTTGAGCATTTACTATGTGCCAGGTATTGTATTAAATGCTTGGTTTTTATCAATTATTTTAACTTACATAACAACCCTATGAAGTATGCATTATTATTTTCTCTATGTTCCAGGTTGGGTAACAAACATAGAGGTGAAGTAGATTGCTCCAATTCTCACAAATAGTCAGTAGCAGACCTAGGAGTCAAGTGTAGACAGTCTGGCATGTGTATCCAATGCTGCACTCTGCTAAAAGCTGTTATTCAGAATGTGTGAACAGGCCTGACTTTTTCATAAGCAGCATTATGCCCATTCCCTCATCTAATCCTCATAACGGCCCTATAATGCAGATACGATTATTCCCACCTTAGAGATGCAGACACTGAGGCTCAAGGCCACAGACTTAGTTGGAAAGCAGCTGCATTCTTTTACTACAGAAAGAAGGATCATATTTTGCCTTCACTCAAGAAAAACATATACATACATCTGATAAAATTCCAAGAATTCTCAGAGCAATTACAGAGCCTCTTGCTACAAACACAACAGAACCTTCTTCAAAGCGCCACACATGCTTGGAAGAACACACACATAAAAGCGCAATTTGAACACTTGTCGGTTTTACCCCCTTGTTGCAAGAGAAGAAGAATGTTTATGCATCAAAAAAATCTAGCGCATTTCCCAGTTTAATTAGTTTTGTCAAGTGCCTGCAGTATGATTTCCATGTTAATTTCCCAATATCCCATTTCAGTTTCTTTATAGTCCACTTCAATTATTTGCTTAAAAATTGAGAGAGGCACAATAACTATGTTCAAATTCCACTTCATTCAACTAACATTTACTGATGTTCCATTTTGTACTAGTCCTGCAGGGCTCTCAGAAGCACAGCACATGTGCTCTTACCTGTACTCCATGCCTATTGCAGACATTACTAATCTATCAGCTTCTCCTTCCCTTATTCCACACTCTCTGGGAAGTAGAAACCTCAAAATTTGTCTCAGCATGGCCTTCCAGGCAACCAGTACCAACTGATTGATGCTGACATGGGAAAATGAAAACTATTTGCTATCCTAGTGTCAAGCATTTTCTTATAAATTTCTTTCCCATTTAATTCTCATGAGGCAGTGGTAACTACTATTTTTACTCCATTTTTACCAAAGAGGTAACTGTGGCTCATTGAGATCCTACCCAAATGTTAGTTATGAGACTGATGGGAAATCTCCCTGATCTCTTATATTTAGCATGACAACCACCAGGCCTTCACTTTCTGGTCATCTGTGGACCTGGCCCAGTATGGGTCTACTTTCCTAGCCCCTCAGGGGCTAGGAAAAGGAATGTAATGTAAATGTAAAAGGAATGAGGAAAATAGTCTCTACCGGTTTATACTAATCCCCCAGGTGGTAATAAGTATTCTTGTATTGGCCTGTGAAGCCATCTGTATTTCTGTACTTTTATAAATGAAATTGGCAGATCTGGAAGGGGTTCAAGTACTAAACTAATCCAAACTCTTCATCTTAAATCAAGGCCTATTTTCATTTCATTTAATCTTTAAGTCAGTCTTTGAGGTAGCCATATTATCCTTATTTTAAGAGGAAGCTGAGGCACAGAGTGGTTGAGTAGTTTGTCTAAGGTCACAAAACTAGTTTAGTGGCACAGTCAATCCTCAGATCTTTCTCCTTTATAAGCCTAAGTATTTAATTATACATTTTCTTTCCTGATCTCTTCTCTCTTTTCCCTTTAGAACATAAATGTAAGGTAATCAATCAAAAAAACACAATAGTTTATTTCTTCAACTTCATTTTCGTCCCCTTCCTTCTAAAATTCTTTTTCTTTTTATTTATTTTTTGGAGACGAAGTCTCTTTCTGTCGCCCAGGCTGGAGTGCAGTGGTGCGATCTCAGCTCATTGCAATTTCCCCTCCACCTCCGGGTTCAAGCGATTCTCCTGTTCAGCCTCCCAAGTAGCTGGGATTATGGGCATCTGCCACCATGCCTGGCTAATTTTTGTATTTTTAGTAGAGACAGGGTTTTGCTATGTTGGCTAGGCTGATCTCAAACTCCTGACCTCAGGTGATCCACCTGCCTCGGCCTCCCAAAGTGCTGGAATTACAGGCGTGAGCCACCATGCCCAGCCATCTTTTTATTGTGCATACATATATATTTTAAACAATAGATGATTGCTTAGTTATATATTTAACAAAGTTCCCTGAGTCTTGTATAGTGACCATGAAATACAGAGATGAGTCACAAACTGTTTGTGCTCTCAGGGAGATTACAGTCTGGCATGAGAAGGACTGACCAATCAGAGGCAATTCAAATGCAGTGTGGTTCTGACAGCACAAATACAGGAAATGAGGAAGCAGAACATCTGAGTTCTGGGCCCACTCAGAAGTGACCAGAGTAATTGATTATAGCTACTGACCCCTAAATCTCAACAGCTTAACATAATCTTAAGTGAGTCAGGAGGCTCTACTCCATGGGGTGACTCAGGGACTCAGGTTGCCTTCATTATACGTCTCTGACACCCCTGTGGCCTCTTCAGGGTCCACTTCTGGATTCTTCCTTCTGGCCTACTGTATATGTAACTAACCTGCACAACGTGCACATGTACCCTAAAACTTAAAGTATAATAATTAAAAAAAAATTAATGTTTGTGTTTCCCCAAACACAAACATATGTTTAAATTCTAATACCCAATGACAGTATTAGGAAGTGGGGCCTTTAGGAGGTGATAAGGCAATGAGGATAGAGCTGTCATGAATGAGATTAGTGCCCTTGTAAGAACAGACACAAGAGGTTGGTCTTGCTCTCTGTTTTCTGCCACATGAGAATACGAGAAGATAACCATCTGCAAACTAGGAAGTGGCCCTCACCAGACAACATATCTTCCAGTGCCCTCATTTAGACTCCCCAGCCTCCAGAACAGTGAGAAATGAATGTTTGTTGTTAAAACCACTTAGTCTACAGTATTCTGTTATAGAAGCCAGAATCGACTAAGACATCTGCCAATGAGAGGGAAGAGAGAGAGACTGTGTGGCAGGCTGTGGAAAAGAGTTTAGAGATCAGATCTTGCAGAGGTGTATATCATCACTGGCCATTTAGTCAATATAACTTATGAGCCTCTGGGGTGTGGACTGACTCAATGCTCACTTTTCCTCTTCCTTATTACACAAAATGACTAAATTCCCCAACTTTCCTTAAAGGTAAGGGTCCTGTAACTGGGTTCTGGACAGTGGAACACCCCTGACTCTCATGGCACAGTCTCGTCAGTCTGTGATATGAGAAACCTTTGTGGTATTAAGCTATTGAGATTTTAGGATCGTTACAGCAGCTTTTGCTAAATTAACCTGACTAATAGAGATTCAATTTCTTTCATTCTAAAATGAAGATAATAGTGCCCTGCCATGAGAAGCAAATAAAAAAGTGGGCATGAGAACTCCCAAGTGGTGTAATGTATTGTTTCCCATTATTCATTTCACCCTAGAAAAGCAGTTGGGATCTCAGGTACAGAGACAGCAAGGAAGGCCTCTCTGACCATTGTGTGATGCAGGACAGGACATCAGGCACTTCAGAGACCACAGCAGGGGGCGCCTGAGCCACATGCTCCAAAAAAAGAGAAGAATTTTTACTGGGCTTCTTTCTTTAATAACAACAACCTTGTACACTTGTGTCAATTCCTTCATTACGACACGAGTGGTCATCCCTAGCAAAGAGTCTGTTGGACAGTAAATGTCAGGCACAGTTGAGCTAAAACTCCTTCCTGCAACATCTGGAGGGTTGTTTCCCCCTCAGAGCTGCTCCTACCTTGGTCCCATTGCATCCATTTTACTTGAATAATATGAATAATAACCAGTGGTTTGCTGGAGCAGACTCACACCAGCTCAAGAGAGTCAGTTATGCACATCATTCCCAAGTCTTCATTCTGTGATGTCAGTAGCTTGAAATCAGTCATGGTGGGAGTGCTTACACCACAAAAACAGGCAAATGGGCAAATCATGGACTTTTATCTTCCTTTATTTCTTCCTTTTCTTTTTTTCTTTTTTTTTTTTTTCTTTTTAAGATGACTGTAGTATAAGAATTCACCAGCACACCACTGGTAATAACACTTTTAGTAATAATAATGGTAGTAGCTATTATTTCCGGCATGGTCACAGTGTTCCAGGGCCATACTTAATAAATGCTAAATATGTTTCATTTTACTTATTCCTTGTAACACTCATGGAATTAGCTGTTACTGTGTTACTCCTACTCCAAAGTGGAAAATAAAGCTCAGAGAAATTAGTAACTTGCTGAAGGACATGCAGCAATGAATTGGGAGTACAAGGTTTTGAACACAGCTCTGTCTGACTCAATGTTCATATTATTTCTATTGTGTCATTAAATAAAAGGAGAATTTGAGTTTCAAAATTGGATTCTTGAGGGTTATAATAAGGTTGTTTCTACCTAGGGAGGGAAAGAATAATAAAATACTTAAAATGCATCTGTCTTTGCATGAGATTACACAGTTTAGTAAAAACACTCTCTCAGATGCTGTGGATATTAATCCTCCAGGATCTCTGTGAGTGATTCTAGGCAGTCACTGCTACACTCTTTTGGCAGATCAGTGGACTGGATTCATGCAGTTGGGTGGTTTGCTCCAGACCAAACAAAGATGGCAGGTGCAGATGTGGCCCTTGGGCCCTCGGTCTTCCACCATGCTGTCAAGTTTTATAACTTAAAAGATCACACTGCAGTCATATCTTGCCCCCATAAATTATGATTGCTTATTTATATATCCACCTCTGCCTATTCCATGGGAGTCTCCTGACAGTGGTCTTAGAGGTCTTCCATCTCAGTGGCTCCAGGGGAAAGCACGATGGTGCCAGGCACATGGTGAATGTTTTATAAATGTCAGATTAACGAATGGCTGAATAGATGGCAATGGAGTGAGGGAATCGATTTGCCTGACTTAATGAGGGAGAGATGTAACAGAGAGGCTGACAGGAAAGGGCCTGGTCCCCAAGATAGGAGGAAACAAACAAAAGAAGAAGAAAGAGGGTACAAAGAAGGGGGAAACAGTAGTCACTGGACAGCAACTTGAGTTTCTTTATAGCAGTTTCCAAAGGCTGTGCTAAGCTCAGCCCTCCCAAACCTATGGTGAATTGGCTGCTTTTTAATCAGCAAAACTGCAGGCTCTTTTGTGAATCAAGCAAGAGAGCCAGAGTCAAACAAGAGAGAGCAGAGAGGCAGCTGCCCCACTTGTAGACTTGGCCTTAGCTATGCCATCCTGACCTATGCCAAATGGAGTCCATGGGCCTGAGATGGAGGCAGTGTCTTTGCCATTTTGGCCCAGCATTATGCCTTTGGCCCTACAGAACAACCAACTTTCCTCTTCAGAGCCAACTCTGCATCCCATCTGGCCTTAGGCATCCCTCATGGTTTACATCTCCTGAACCTCTCACCTCCAACCCTTTAACTCCTCTTCCTTCACCTCTTCTGACTCTTGGCTCATTTTCCCATCTCCTCTTTCCATGTTGTCCCCCTCCCCCTAAACATGATACTTAATTCTGTTTCTTGACTCTGAAGTCTGGCTTTTCTCCGTGGCCACAAGCTGTACTTCTGATTATGCTACCTTTGGCCTTAACGAGATAAACATATTGTCTAGTCCAGCCCAGCTGCCAAGACTACCCATGACAAGCTTGTCCTGAGCAGGGGCCCAGCATCCATGGCTTCTGTTGTTTTCTCCATGGAGAATGTGTTGGTCATGTTTGTGTTCCCAACATCTATGCCTCTCAAAATGATTTAACCATGTCAGTGGTTGCTCCTTCTTGGCTGCACCTTAAAATCACCTGGGATGCTTATTTAAAATCTAGTATCCACACCTATTGAAGATTTTATTTTAAAACATTTCAGAGATCATTCTAATGTGTGGTCGGGATTGAGAATCACAGGTCTAAGCCAATCTGTTAATCCTATTTCCCTTGCAAGGGCATGCATGAGCCTGACATTTAATCATGAAGCAAGAGATACAAACGGAAGCTGGGAGGTTCTGCAAGGAGGACACAAGAAAGAGACATGGCCCTTTCTCTGCATCAGGGTATGTCATTTCCAGATGAACTGCAAAGAACTTCTGCTGTCATTTTGCAGTGATGAAGGGACACAAACAGCCTAGGGGGGGGTAGTTGAGATACTGAAGATGGTAGAGTCCAGTAAAATGGAAAGAGCTGGGTCCCCATCACGTTTCTAAATCAAATAACTAACCTGGCCTCTGATCTTATTTAATGAGATAATGTAGTTATTTACTGTGTAAATTGGGGGTCAGTACATTTTTTTTTCTGCAAAAGGCCAAAAAGTAAATATTTTAGGCTTTGCTAGTCACACAGTCTCTGAACCAACCATTCTGCCCTTGGACATGAAAACAGCTACAGACATTACATAATGAATGGGCATGGCTATATTTCAATAAAACGTGATTTACAAAAGCAGACAGTGGGCTGGATGTCACCTATGGACTGTTTGCCAATTTCCCATTTAAGTAATCCTGAGTCAGTGTGTCTTGTTACTTGCAGCCCACGGCATGTTAAGTGATACGAGGATGATTCCCAAAACTGAGTCTGCATGAACAACTATTCTCCCTGCTGAACCCCAGATACATATATTTTGTGTCTGCTAGTCAAATCCTCCTTGATGTCCCACAGGTACTTCAAACTCAACATGTTCAAAACTGATCTCATCTTTCCCATACCTATCCCTAGGTCTGCCCCTCCCCTTGAACTTCCCACTTAGCAAATGCCACCATCACCTTGAGCTGCTCAAACTAAAAAGCCCTGAACGACCTTAATTGCCTCTATTGTCATTAGTCAGCCAGCCACTATGTTCTGTCAATCCAGCTATAAAATATTTCTCCATTCTCCATCTGTAATAAGCTATGTACTATGTACCAGGTGCAAGGCCAAAATAGTTTATAACAATGAACAATGCAGATGCAGCTACCACCCTCTCCAAGCTTAAGATAGGATCCTTGACGTACAATAGATAACACTATTAAAACCATTATTAAAACCTCCTACTTGCCAGCCTCTACACTAGGCACTTTACAGCGAGCGCTCTGATCTTCAGGACAAATCTGAGTGCACGTATTATTCTCTGTTATTCGTAGATAAAGAAATTGAGGTGAAGAAAAGTTGAATCTCTTGCCCATGGTCATGGTGGCACAGTGGGGGCAGCACCATAATGGGAGGCATATCTGTCCTCACATGAAAGCCCAGGTTCTCCTCATTACCTCTAGTCCACTGATTGTTCATCCTTGCATGGGGTTGGCTTTCTGGACCACGTTGTCACTTTGGGAATACTAGATCAATCAGTTCGCAGGATGACACCTGGATCTCACTTTGGCAAAAAGCCCATGACAAACTTCTCATCAGCACAAGGGCTATGCGATTAGGCACAGGCTATTAAAACATCTCATGTTCGAAATCAGTCACTCTGTTCTCTGCCAGTTAGGACCACCACCTGTGCCCAGGCAGGGCTTTCTCACAGAGAACAAGAAAAATCCAAGTGCTAGGATGTAGGCAGTGGGGGTCCTCAGCAAGATACTCTTTCCAAA
Organism: Homo sapiens; assembly: GCF_000001405.40. Taxonomy (NCBI): domain Eukaryota; kingdom Metazoa; phylum Chordata; class Mammalia; order Primates; family Hominidae; genus Homo; species Homo sapiens. Next base: position 58,017,442 of record NC_000001.11, read on the forward strand.
ATCATGCATGGTCAGGTAAATATGACCCAAGCAGAGCTGAAATGCTCCAGCTGCCTCTGCCCTGTCATCTTCCTCTCACATTGCTAATTTGGAAGTGAGAGGATGGTTGAAGGAACACAACCCTAGGGCTGGACAGATCTGGGTTCAAATTCTGCTGCCACCTTGGGCAAGTCACCCAAACTCCCTTTGGCCCTGCCTCACCTTCAAGCTGGAACTATGCTACCTACCCACTTCCTAGGGCTACCCTGGGGGTAGAAGACAATGAGGTTTTTGGAGAAGCAAGGGAATTGTGGGGACCTGAGCGGTGCTCAGTGAGTGGCAGCCCTCTTCCCTACTGTGGTTGCTGTAATGACAAGCTCCCAACTGGAGGCACATGAGCTCATGGTAGCCCCTCTAGGTGGGGCTGGAAGACAAAGGTTTATTGAGCTCTTAATAGCTCAGGAGTCCCAGCCCTCCTTGAGGCTGCAGCCCAGCACTGTGCTTGGCACTTTAATGTAACTTATTTAATTTCTCTTTAACCTTTCATTTTAATAATAACACATTAAGCCATTTTCAGACAATAAAACCACGGTTCGCCAATTGACAGCTATAAAGTAAATAGAATTCAAAAGTAAGACTTTCTGATCATGATGCTTGTGCTTTTTACTGCATTCTAAGTGCTTTTTACTGCATTCTAAGTGCTTTTATACACCAAGGCAACACTCACGTTCCCTCACTCTCTCTGCTTCTATCTGTGTCTCCCTCTGTCTCTCCCTGTCTGTACCCTGCCCTTACTTCTCTCCTTGCTTCCCTACTATCTCCTTCTTCCTACCTCCTTCCTACCTTCTCTCATTTTGTCTTTCCTTCAGTAGCTGGGACTACTCCCCAGCTGCCAGAATCTCTGGATTTAACCTGTCCTAATGTCCCCAGGTCTTAGAGAGCTCTGAGTTTTCAAACCTTGGGCCTGGTTGCCTAATAACAAACCCTACCTCCCTAGGCCCTCCCACAGCCTTTGGCTCCCTCTCCATGCTGTATGTAATAGGCTTTGAGCCACTTTTCTTACCCTTCAAGGATGTCTATTTCAACCAATGGCTTTAGTATAAAACCACTGACCTCTGGAGCCAGGGACTCAAAATGGGCATTGGTCCAGAGGCTGGAACCTTAGAGATTTATCTGGCAAGAAAAGGGTTGGGGACAAGCTAAACTGAAATTTCCAGAACTAGGGATTTATTTAACAAATGTTTACATAAATTCTTATTAACCACTTTTCTGGAATCGAAAGGTGTTAATTGTTTTCATAATCACTTCATGTTTCCTAATCCACACTGACATTTCTCTTTCCTCCAGGCCCTTCCAAGTCTTCCCTGAAAAACTCAAAGAAGTACATTGTTATAAAACTCCTATGGGTAAGATTCAAGATAAGAGATGATGAATAAAAAAGGAAAAAGAATTCCAATCAGTTGTATGACTACTGCCTTGGAAATCTGGCAGGAGCATTAAGGTGACATTTGAAAATATTATCATTCTCAGGAGAGGCAATGTGATAGAAAGGATACACCATGAGACTTAGAGTTAGGAGACCTATATTTAAATCTCAGCTCCACCACAGGCTGGCTGCATGACCTTGAGATAATCACTTAATCTCTCTGGGCCTCAGTTTCCTCATTTATAAAATGAATGGCCCAGATATGATGATCTCTAAGATTACTCCCAGCTCTAAAATTCTGAAATGCTAAAATGGTTCAGTTCATTCTGATGGCCAATAAATGAAGGGTGATTCAGACTACCAGAGCAATTCATATTTTATTTATTTTTAAATTATGGAAAAGTTCCTTTGGCCAGCTATAGAGGCCCAATTCACTGCTGGAACAAACGCTATGACTTCAAAGCTATAACATTAGGTATTAAATTTAGAAAATATAAAGGGAATAAAATTGTTCTTTCGTGTTTATAGCCCTATTAATAACTTTTACCTCATAATAATGTGATCCATTTTTCAACCTCAGAAGCCAGGAAATATTTAGCAAAGAAAGAAGAGAATAAACTAACAATTATTGCCTACGTACTATGAATTACTATTTATTGAGTACCTATAATAAGCTAGACACTATCCTAGAGATGTTTCTTATGTTATCCTATTTCACATTTCTAACTGCACCATGAAAAATGCATTGCTTTCCTCATTTTATAGATGAGAAATCTGAGACCCAACAGGATGTGACTTGCTCAGTATCATGAAACTAGTGAGGTCAATTTGAACCCAGGTCTGTCTGATACTCAGACCAACATTTTTCTTACTATATTACTTTTGAAATATTCTAAGCAGAGAGCTCCCTCTCAGTGGGACTAAGCAAGTAGTAATTAGGTAGGAATGCTTTAAGAGGGATCATCATGCTGGGAATAGAGTCTAAGTGGTTGGACTGGGTAACCTTTGTAATCCTTTCTATTCTGAGAATCAAGTAATTCTATTACCTTAAGTCACTGTGAGTAGAGTAATAAGAAGCAAAATCACTAATCCTCCCAGAGAAGCTGCAAAATATGTTCTCTTTATTTCTTTATAATGTTTCCTGCAATTATTTTTCTTTCAAGAAGAATAACATCTCTCTGAAATTTAGGAGTCCATAACCTATTTCCCTCAACTACTACCAGTGTTTTAATCTTTTGATGACCCTCTAGAACCACAGAATTATTATTCTGCATTAAGACTTCTGTATAATTCTACCCATGAATTAGAATGAGGAACATGAAATTTAATTCAATAGCATAGGAAATGTTCGCCTGTAATCCCAGGCAACATTAAGCTAGGTTACTTCACTTAATAATGAGCTCTCTTCTTTTTACTTCATGTGTTCAAGGAAGTGCTTAAATACCTGAAGTGCTTAAACACATAAAGCTATGGCCACCAATACATTAAAATAACTTTTTCTTCTTCCTTTTTAACAGCCATTATCTCTGGAATTCCTGTAAGGAGCTTAGAATCTATTTTTGAGCTTCCTCACTAAACAATAAGCTGAAGACAGAGATACTTCACAAGAAACTTTGTGTAATGGAATGCTTCATGGAATGAATTCATCATTATTCAGATTTAACCAAGGTAAATTCCAGCTATTTCTCCAACAAATGGACAACTTCAACTTAGATCAGGACTTCTGTGAATGGTTCCTCTCAGAAAAAGAGGTATAGCAGGTTCTGTAAAAAAAAGTCTTCCTCTCCCAAGGTGGCCTGATACGCAGAGCTGATGCCCAATGAGAAGTTGTGTAAAACTGCCTAGAATCAAGTAGCCTCTTAGGAAGAAAAGACCAGCCAGGCGCGGTGGCTCACGCCTGTAATCCCAATGTTTTGGGGGCCGAAGTGGGCGGATTACTTGAGGTCAGGAGTTTGAGACCAGCCTGGCCAATGTAGTGAAACCCCATCTCTACTAAAAATACAAAAATTAGCCAGGGGTGATGGCGCACACCTGTAATCCCAGCTACTTGCGAGGCTGAGGCAGGAGAATCACTTGAACCCAGGAGGTGGAGGTTTCAGTGAGCAGAGATCACGCCACTGTACTCCTGCACTCCAGCCTGGGCATTGGAGTGAGACCCTGCGCCCCGCACCCAAAAAGAAAATAAAAGACCTGGACCCTGCTAGTTCTCAAATTATGTCAACCAATGAAAGCAAGTGTTGCATAAGTGAAGTCACCATAGGAAAAAGGAAAATTTGAACTAGTGACCTGACTTCAATGCAAATTCATAGCTTAAGGGCTTAGAGAAAAGACTGGTTTGAACCCAGCATGGGGTGGACACTGGAAGTCCCTCCAGGCCTTGTCTTCCTAGAGTGGGCGTCATGCACTGGGCATAAAAGCTGAGCATGTGCGTATGACCTAAATCACCATTTAGTATGTGCCATCACTATTCTAAATGCTTATTATAGATTGACTCATTTAATTCTTAATAATAACTGTATAAGGTAGTTACTTCATTACCACTATTTTATGGATGAGGAAACTGAAGATTAAAGATTAAATAATTTGCTCAAATTCACATGGCTAGCAAATGGTAAAGCCTGGATAGAGCTCCAGATATTCCAAATAAAACTCCAGAAAGGGATGTTTCCAAAAGAAAATAAGGGAATTCCTACTAATAAGAATAGATGGTGGACCAATTGCTTACATGGAAAAATAAGAGGACTGTGAGCATATGAGTACCTACAGTTGGAAAAATGAGGCAAGTATGGAATATGGCCCCCAAAAACCAAAGCAGATGATGGTGACAAGAGGGCAGCTTGCATTGTCAGAGCAGAACTGGCCCAAGAGAATGGAAGTCTGGAGGTAAATGTAGATGTGGTATAGGGGAAAGATTAGAAAATTAGGTAAAATGAAAGTCTGAAGCAGTGGGTCTGAAAGGGCAACCGGGAATGATCTGGATCAATCCCAAGTGATAGGAAGCATCCAATTAAGTTGAGGTGGTGCGAATGTGATGAGAGGCTGCCATTGTGTTCAGAAGCAGAAGGGGGTTGGGAACCACAGACAGAGTAGGTGGCTTAAACTATCTTTTTCCTCTTATAAAGCTATTCCTGACCATCTGGGAAGGATGGCTTCTAAGGAGTTGGCAGAAGGCCTCATCTTGATAGAGAATTTAGGCTATTAGCTGCCCTCTCTGAGGAACCTAGACAGATCCCATGGGCAGACCCCTTAATAAAACCCTTCCTCAGAAGCCAAGTCTCTAACCTCAAAGCACCAGGTACCTTGAGAATCTGGCTGCTCTTAACTTTTCCCCAAAGCATTACTCCAGGGCTTTCCAAGACATTGAGTGCCAACCCATTGCACAAAGCTGACCTCCAAGCTTCATGAGCTGGTGAAATGACAACTGACAGGTATCAGAAGCTCCTCCTTAACTCTCAGTATGCAAGACAGAAATGCAAAGGCAATGCTGTGGGGATGCTAGAGAGATTCAAGTGAGGCCTCAGGAAGGTAAGTTCAAATCTGATCATTGGTCCCTATGGAAATTCAAGTCAGAAGGTTGCATCTTGCTTTGGCAGAGTAGACCTGAGTTTGAGTACAGATTTGCCTCCAGGAACTTCAGGCAAGTCCCTTTTCCACTGTGCACTTCAATAGAGGATGAGACTAAATGACCTCTAAATTCCCTGGAGTTTGCCTATTATTATTATCACTATTGATACCAGTGGACTGAAAGGCATGACTCACGGTATGTTTAAAACACATTTACTCCTTAATTTCCTGCTGTCCCCTTAAAATAAAATCAATTACAGTAAAAGCAAAATCCTTATCCTTTGTATGTTTTCATATTTATGAGTATTTCCTCTAAACTACGTAATATAATTTGGCACTGCACTTCGGAATTTCATTTCTATTACATCTTTGTATCTAGCCAAAGTTTTAATTTTAAGTTCCGGTTACTGTATTACCTTCATCATCATCACCGCCAACAATCCCATCATCATTCATTATTTATTTTTCTGAATAGCCTATGAGTTTGCTGGGAGTAAGATCCCTTTTGTCTTATTTTTGAATCCCTAAGAGCACTGAACACAATGCCTCACATGGCATAGATCCTCAATAAACATGGTGTGAAGGATTAATGATAATTCACATACTCAACATTTCAGTCCAACTAAACAACTTGAAAATTCTGTGAAGACACTGAGATCCTTTCCCCAAGTGCCCTTACACATGTTGTACCTTTTGCATGGCATTCTTTGCCCTTCTGTGCTCATTTATCGTGCTCTAAGATGCAGCTCAAATAATACAATAAAATCTTACAAAAAATTTAAAATAAACCTCTCCAATACCCCCAAATATAAAATAACAGCTCTAGTAAGGCCTTTCCAGAGCCTCTCTGGAAATATTTATCACCCCCAGCCCACAGCCAGAAACACACATCCCTCTTCTAATGCTTAAAGTAATGCATTATGTCTGGTTGTATAATTGTCTCTTCAACCAGATCAGGGACTCTGTGTTAAAATCACCTGGAAAGCTTTTAAAAAACTACTAGTGGCTGGCTGCATTCCAGATCAGAAGAATCAGGTTCTCTGGGGTGGGGTGTGGATATTGGTATTTTTAAATTCTCTTCAGTAATCTAATACGCAGACAGAGTTGGGAACCACTGTATAAAATGGTGAGGTACTAGAAGGCAAGAACTATGGTTTGTCTCTGCAAGTCTAGTTCTCAGCAAAGATTACCACCCAATAAATAATTGTCAAATGAATGAACTAGGAAGGATAATAGAAGTATAAGAATAATTTATGTAAGTCTCTTCCTACAAGTTTATTTTAAAATGTTGTGAGATAAACAACGATATATTAATCTAATGACTTCTGACTTATTAGACAATTTTGTTTAACCATATCAAACACATAAATTGCCTTGGACCCAGCATCTAACTAAGCAGTTTTCCCAGAGGTGGTAAACGTGGTCCTAAAAGAAATCTAGATGGATCCTGCAAAAATATGAACATTAAGGCAGTTCATTAGCTTAGCCTCTAAGTCCAAAAGCTGGACCTCCAAAGCCCTATCATGTAATGTAGATATATTTCAAGGTTGTTATCTCACAACTGTCAAACCCAGCCTCTTCTTGCTTTCTGCTGCGTAATTTATCCTTGAGAGTGGCATGAGAGTTTTTTATTAATTTGTTTGTCAAGCAACACTCTCAGCTCTCTCGTAATTATGTTTCCTGTTAGTAGCATTAAGTACAAACATAGCTCTTGATTTTCACTTGTTAATTTGTCCCTCTCCTACATTTAGATATAGCAATAGATATAGTCATAAGATCAGAAAATTGCTGATGGTCAGGAGAGGGCAACATAAAGGCCTGTGTATCTTTGCCAGTAATTAATATGCAATGAACTAATGCCATACAGTGGAAAGATCACAAAAGAAGCTCGGGGTTTGAGTTGGCCTGAGTCATCTACACTGTGTCTTTGGACAATTAGCTTACCTCTTTGCAGCTTGAACAACCCATCTCAAAAATGAAAGATAATGAAATCTATTTCAAATGCTTAGCAGAGTTATTGTGTGCATAAAATAAGACAACAGATAAGAAAAATACTTAGTAAAATACAAACAACTATGCTAACATGCTTCTCTCATTCAGTTGCAAACATTCTATACACCCACTGTGTCATGGGCTACAGTAATATAGATAATGATGATTCTTATCACCATTGTTATCATAAGGATTATGCTGTTATAATGAAGTCCTGGTTATCTTGTGATGGTTAATTTTATGTGTCAACTTGGCCACAAGGTGCCCAAACATTTGGTCAAACATTATTCTGGGTGTGTCTGTGAGGGTGTTTCTGGATGATATTAACATTTGAATTGGTAGACAGTAAAGTAAATTGCCTTTTCTAATGTGTGTGGGCCTCATCCAATCAGTTGAAGACCTGAACAGAACAAAAAGGCTGAGTAAGTAGGAATTTCTTTCTGCCTGACTGCCTTCACCTGAGGCATCATTTTTTATTTCTGTCTTTGGACTCGAACTGGAACTAAATCAGCAGCTATCTTGGGTACCCAACCTGCTGCCTCAGATCTTGGGACTTGTCAGCCTCCATAATTGCATGAGTCAATTCCTTATAACAAGTCTATCTACCATCTATCTCTCCACCTATCTGGCCATTTATCTATCTATTTGTCCTTCTCTCTCTCCCCTTTCCCTCCTCCTTCCTTCCCTCACTCCCTTTTTCTCTCTTTCACACACTCACACACACACACACACCCTACTGTTTCTGTTTCTCTGGAGAACCCCTTATACATCTCTAGCAACATAAACATTCTTTGGGGAGGCTTCAGAAATAACTCTCTAAATACAATATCTTATGTTGCTGGAAGTGTTTTCGTGGTCATTAGAATCAGCTGGCCAGCTTTAAAAACATCAATTCCCAGCCCTGAGAGATTAGAGCTTCTAAATCAGTACCTCAAGATGGCAGAACCTGGAAATCTGGATTTTAACAGGGTTCCTAGTAATTCAACTTATTAGCCATGTTTAGGAACCACCCAACTAAGTGGTTTGGTTGAGAAAACTAGAAACCAAAGATCTGTCTGATCTCTAAACTTTCATCCCTTCAGCTTCATAGATTTTGTTTCTTTCTCTTGTCTCCTATTAAATGTAGATGAGCTATAAATATAATATTATATATATATAGAGAGAGAGCCTTTCATATATTTTATTTCTTTCTCTTGTCTCCTATTAAATGTAGATGAGTTATAAATATAATATTATATATATATGTGTGTATATATATATATATATATATATATATATATATATGGCCTTTAATCATAAATTTAGAGTAAAGTTATTTTGAATTCAACCCTGATCATATTCCTCCTCTGTCTTTGGGGTCCCCCTGTTAACTATCAATAAAATCCAATTTCCTTAAGATAGCATCCAAGTCCCTCTAAACTATGACCCCTGGATAAGTCTCCAGCCTCATCTCTCATCACATTCATTCATATACATCCTAAATCCAACTCCCCAGTGAGCGCTTGTTCCAGTTTCTGACCCTGTGCATTGTTCTTGTTCTCACCTCCACCTGGAGGGCCATGTCACCCCAAACACTCATCCTTCAAGTTTTAACTAAAACGGCATTTTACTCATGCAACTTCTCTAATAGCTCTCTAATATATTGCTTTATATCACAGCCATTTGTGTGCTTGTCTCCCTCAAGAATAGGGACTTCTCAAAAATCAAGCTACATGCTGCAAGTGCTTGTACCTAGAGCTCTGAATCTGACACAAAGTAAGGTTCATACGCATTCAATGAATTGATGCAGGCTGATATTTCCTACACAGTTACCAAAAGGAAAAAATTTAAAAGTTGGACATTTGGTTACAAACATGGAAAGAATATCGCAAGAAGGCATAGAGTGTAGGCTGAGCAGCACAGTGCATTGTTTAGAAGCAAGAGGTTTCAATCTAGGCTCCATTTCCATCTCTCCTACTTATTAATGATAAGAGGGTCACATTATTAAGACTTCAGTATCTCCATTTTTTCATCCCTGAGTGAGGATGGTGATGGTATCAATCTCATAAGGCTGTTATGGGGATTAACTATGCTAAGAACTTAGTACATCATCGGGATGCATCATATAAACTATTGAATAAGCTATACTTGTTATTGGTGCTCCCTTATTATTTTATTAATGTTTAACCCAGTGAGTATAGTCCTAGAAATAGAAGACTCCTGATTTATGGGTGCAAAGAAAAGTGGAAGAATCCTCAAGCTAACTTATCTTGTGGGCCATTTCCATTTCTGAAGGGCATCCATCTCAGAGGAAGAAAAAGCCAGAGTTATGCCTTTGTCTTTCATGGGTTGCTCCTTTCCCTGATGCAGTCCCTTAAGGAATATAGATCCATGGGAGATTTGTGTATATGCTCTGTTTCCCAATAGTTAAAGCAACTCATTTGTCACCACTAAGCATTCATTCTTTTTCTGGAGGTCAATTTGCCAGGTGCCTGCACCTGTCCAGGGAAAGCCTGACAGACCAGGGACAGTTGACCTGACAGCTATTGCACATGAGCCTAATCTTCTCTTTGACTCTGTGGTAGAAGGACAAATGGACCAAATCTTGGCCCAGGCCTGGAAACTCTAAAACCACCCTTGGAATTTTGAAAAGTGATCTTAAATACCATTAGATAAAAACCACTGCCCTGTGACAAGGCTCAGGCCCAGATCAGTAGAAATAACTTATAATAAAGTACAGAGCTGGGGTTGCCAAAGACCATGATGTCTATGACAAAGACAGTCCTTTTCTGGGAGAAATGTGAAAAAGGAAGACAATATTATGAGGTTTTTATAAAAGCAAAGTGGATTGGATTTTTTAAATGTATATAGAGACAGGGTCTCACTTTATTGACCAGGCTGGTCTCAAACTCCTGGCTTCAAGGGATCTCTTGCCTCAGCCTCCCAAAGTGCTGGGATTACAGGCATGAGCATGCCCAGCCTTGATTGGATTTTTTAAAATCTGAGGTTAAGTTCTTCATACTTTTATAATATTAAAGTTAATTTTCTTTATAACATAATAATGATAGTCAGTGGCTGACTTGTTTCTTTAGTGTCCTCACCTAGATAAATAAAAGTTGACATACTTTCTGTCCTTCTGCACAATTTTGGGGTGTTGGTTATTTTGCTAGTCTATGAAATTCTCAAAAGTTTGGGGCTCTTTGATATTAGGGTTGAGGAAAGAGGCTCTAGAGCCAGAAAGACCTGGGTTGCCTGCTTTGTTCTTCTTCCAATTTGTGTGACTTTGAGCTATTTATTTAACTTCTCGGAGTCTCTAAAATGGCAACAACAATAATAATTTCTATCTTACAGGATCATTGCATGATGAAAAAAAGATACCAGATGGCATGAGGTTAGCACTGGGCCTGACAAAAAAATCATAATAATGGGTGTTTAAATAGGTTTTCCAGAATTCAGCCATATAGATGAAACCTAGAAATAAGGAGCAAATGCAGAAAGAATTAAGCATTTAATTCCCCTATGTGGAATTCCTCCTAGATATAGCCTGCATGCTTTGAGGACTGCTGGGTTTAGATTCACACAAGTCTAAGTTTATATGCTACTAACTCAGGCCATTTTCTGGTCTAATAAATTTAAATAAGGTAGCTCATTTCTCTGAGCTTCTGTTTCCTTATCTGTAGAATATAATTCCCATCATAGAACATCAATACACTAGGTATTTTACACACATCCTCACTTAATATATGCAGCTATCCTACAAGATAGGCACAGTTGATTATTATCTGCAGTAGCTATGTTCTATAAAGTTTCACAAATACCGAACCATTGCTCCTAGGGGAAACACAGGGTCATGTTCCTGCAAGGCTCTGGTCAAAACATTTTCATCAACTGATCAATACGTAACATTGTTTTATGTGTTTCTGTTTAAAGACATCTTACTTCATATATTTTGTTGATTCATTAACATTGAACTCATAGCCAGCAGCACTATAACTCATGCCTGAATGAAGCTTATCTAACTCATGTATTTTCTCCATAAAGCATACCCCATGTGTTTTATGAAAAATTGGAGTGTCTTGTCTTAGGAACACCAGGCAGCTTCAGTACTATGTCTAGCGGCCATGTTAAACAGTGAAATTACCAACAAAAATCACAAAAAAATGCTAAACCTATGACCACCAAAAGGATGCTTGTTCATAGTAAGAGGGCTCAAACAAGAAGGCAGAGAACATCACTTTGTACAACCTCAGCTGAGAACACACATGTCAGGTGACTCAAAGTTTTTGCCATTTTGTGTATGTCTGTCGATGACCATAAAAGCACTATGAGTACTGATTTTGGGGTTACAAATAAATTTTAGTGAGTAGTCAAATTTGCAAATGTGGAATCTGCAAATAATAAGAATCAACTGTACTATTCTCTTCACAGACGAGGAATCTGAGGCTGAAAGAATTTATGTCATACAACTGCATAGTGGTTAAGTTGAGTTGAAACTGGGTAGATATGTCTCCATCCAAAGACCCATGTTATTTCTATTATTAACACAGTACCCCCTCCATGTCTGGTTATCCTAGGAAACAGAAGTGGTATGAACGGCTACCTCACAGAAAGATGGTGAGGATCAAATTAAGCATCTTGAAGGTGCTTTTTAAACCACAGAGCATCATACAAACATAAAGGGTTGTTATAAGAAGGTTCAATTACAGTGAGGTTATACTATCTAACACTAAGACCAACTATAATGAACTCCCTCATTCTCCCACAGTAGAAAGAGACCAAGTTAAAAATCAGACCTTGAGAGGTTAGTGTCTGGGTAGCCCTTATCCCAGCAAGCAACGACAAGCTAGTGATTCAGGCTAATTCAATGCAGCCTCAGTGGGATTGCTCTTTCAGGGTTCTGAGAGCAAAAGAAGTACTTACAGTATATTTTAGTTAAAAGATCAAAATGCAGGTTGGATGCACTAAAAAAATGCTTCTGATGTCAAGTCCACTTACAGTTGCTGTTACAAAAATCTGCCACCCAGGGCCACAAAAAAATCAACACAGCAGCATTATCCAGCAGTGCGGATATTGACGAACAGGGGTGTTGTCTCAAAAACAATCTTGAAGTTATAGCTGTACCTTAAAAGGGGAGGGGGCTGGGAGCCCACAGGCACCATGTTAATTACAAAAGAGGCCAGACTCATCCAACATAGAATTTGAAGAATTAACCATCTCTGATAAAAAGAATCAGTAAAGACAGAAAGGACTTAAAAATGTTCACAGACTTTAACTGACTAATGACACTTCAAGAATGCTAATAAAATGATCAGATGAGGAAAAATATTGATGCATAAAGTTGTTCATAATGTAGCTATTTCCCAATTTTAGCTTCAATAAATAATGGGTATTTGCTTTAAATATTATGCTATAGCCATACAATAAAAAAGTAAGTGTAAATAAAAATTATTTTAAATAATGTTTAATAATATTGGAAAATAGTCAAAGTGTAATCTTAGTAAAAAAATAAATAAATAAACACAGGATACAAAAAGTATGAATCGTCCAGGTGCAGTGGCTCATGACTATAATCCTGGGACTTTGGGAGGCTGAGACGGGCAGATCACTTGAGTCCAGGAGTTCGAGACCAACCTGGCCAACAAGGTGAAACCCCGTCTCTACTAAAAATACAAAAATTAGCCAGGTGTTGTGGCAGGTGCCTGTAATCCCAGCTACTCGGGAGGCTGAGGCAGGGAGAATTGCTTGAACCTGGGAGGCAGAGGTTGCAGTGAGCCGAGATCGCACCACCACACTCCAGCCTGGGTGACAGAGTGAGACTCCATCTCTAAAAAAATAAATAAATAAAAGTATGAATCAAACTGTGTGCATATTACTAAAAACAAGCAAAGAAACAAAAATACTGAAAAGAAATGTGTTAAATATTAACAATGATTGATTTCTTGTTTGGGAAATTTTGAGTAATTTGTATTTATTTTTTATTTCCAAGGTTTCCACAACAAGCATATACTATTATTTTTAAGGTGAGGAGGCAAACAGTACAATGAAAGTACAATCCAATTTGCTATCAAGCTCCACACTCAAAAGAGTGCTTTGATGAACAGAGCCACAGATTAAACAAGATTTAGCCTGTTCATCTAACCGGTCACTGATCTGTAAAAATATCAGATGTTTTCAGATTTTTCAAATCACTTATTATTAAGCAACTAGCTGGAGTGCAGCCAACTTAACTACACAAAGAACATGAGATGGCCCCATCCTCAGAAAAGCCCCTGGGGTGGGGCCCGGGTTTTCCTCTATTCACCTTTGTACTGCCAGAGCCTTGTGCCTGCAAGAGAGCAGGAGTTCAATAAAAACGTATTGAAAGAGTGAACACATATGGAAATAGGCTGCCTCACAATCACAGGTCAGCAGACATCAGCCTTTCATTCATACATACAATCATTCAAAAATGTATGAACCACTTACTATACATACATATGACTAGGCATGGACGGCCTTCAAGACATGCAATAACTGGTGATGGTCCTAATACATAAACAAATGAAGGACTTTATACAATAAGAAAGGTGTGGATAAAATGTTAAGGGAGTTCCTAAGCAGGAAGAACTTCTCCAGGTACGAAGTTCTTCTCCAGGTAGGAAGTTCAAAGATGTCTTCCTGGATGGAGGGGGGATTTGAGCTGGGTTTTGAAGGTTGAGCACAATTTGGGCATGAGTGAACAAAGTGGAGAGAAGGTATCACAAACTGATACATGAGCTAATGACATGAGCTAAGTCCTGAATGTGAATATGTATGTGGCTTACAGAACAAAAAAATGCTTCAATTTGGCCAGAGCACGGAGACAGAAGGGAAGCAGGGAGGCTGAATGGAAGCATGGAGGCAAGGCTGAAGTAATGCATTGGGACCGGGTTATGTGGGGAGAGTTTTGAATGTTAAGATTTGCGTTCTTCAGTAGATGAAGCAGAACTGTGGAAAGTCTTTGAGTGGGAAAGTGATCTGTTCAGAGAAATCTTTAAGAAGATGTTTGGGCAGTAATAGGTAAAACGGATGGGAAAAAAGAGAGGCAGGACCTGAAATAAGAATCTTCAGTGAACAGGCATGAACGTTTAACCGGAGAAGCAGCTGGAAACTCAGCTCTTAGTTTCTTCCATCGCCAGGATGGCTTCAGCCCTCAGCTGCCAGATTTCCTTTGAGATGCTAAGGACCAACTATTACACAAATGCTTAAACCCTGGGCTCAGCCACCAGCCCCTGTATCCCTTCTCCCTCTCAGAGGAAGCTGAATTGCTTTGCAAATATATGCAGATACATGCGAATAACAAAGCTATTAACATGTGCCCTAAGCCTCAAAGGGAAAGGTTTGCTTTGATCAAAGCTCATAATGGGATATATCCAAGGGGCAGAAAAACAATATCCTGCTCAGCCCAAACTGAGCTGAGGAAGGTTTAGACTCTGGAGCAGAAAGCCCTGCCTTAGTAACTGCTATTCAGCCAAATACTCAAGTGCACGGTGTTTCCCTTCTATACCCTCATTTCCTAAGGTTGAAATTGTAAAAAAAAAAATCTTCCCTTTGCTCCATTTTATCACAGCTGCAAGTACTGATAGAAACGTGTGTGTGTGTGTGTGTGTGTGTGTGTGTGTGTGTGTGTGTGTGTGTGTTTAATCTGACCTTCTAAACTCTGCTTCTCAAAGTGTGGTCTATGGACAAGCAGTATCTGCATCATCTGGGAGAGGGCTAGGAATGCAGAACCTCCAGCCAGACCCTAGTGCTAGTGAGTTGGAATCTGCATTTTAACAAGACGCCAGGTGAGCAATGCATATGCACATTATAATTTGAGGAGCACCAATCTAAATGACCTTAGCATCCATAATTAGGATTTCTTAAGGGCCAGGACCATGTCTTCTTACTCACCTTCATAATCCTCAGGCACAGTGTATGGCACATAACAGGTAATAAAAATAAGCCTTTGTTTCCTGTTCTGTAAATTGAGATAATAGCTATCTCAAAAGCTGTTGCATGGATTGAATGGAATATCAAATGTAAAGCATTCAAGCACAATGCCTGGCACTTGGGTGGGGAGTGCCCAAAGTTTTTGAATTCCCCATCAAAACCAATTGTTGATCTGTGTACAAATAACCCCACATGCCATGTTGAGTGTTTGGTATTTTATAAATGTCTATCCCATCTAATCCCCATGTCAGCCAGCAGGAGTTGTCATCTGTGTTTCACGAGCCAGGAAACTAGGATCCAGAGAGGTTAAAGTGCAAAGTCCTAAAGCAGTAGGCAGAGCTGGACTCTAAACCATGCCCCTTCCAATCCACCCTTCACTGTGTAGCCACCTGGCCCACAATGCACATGCCTAGCTAAAAAGTTATCTTTGTGTCCACACTACCTTCAGGGTGAAATCCAAGCTCTTTAGCACAACTTGGCATGGTGGGCATAAACTGGCAGGGTTGATAGGACAATTTTACAAAAGACTCAGGGAGCCTCTCATAGCCTGGCCCCTGCCTACTTCTCTGCCCTCAGCTCCCTCTTCCTGATCTGATCTTTCTCCTGTTTCAGGTCACATTCATCAGTCCAAAGTCATCAGGACATTTCACAACTCCCTGAATTCACTCTGGTCCCTTTCTCTGGAATGGGCGTGCCTGGTGCCTTTGTGTTGGATAGCTTTATTTGTCCCTCCAGAACCACCTTCACCCTTCTCCATTCTGCCCTGTGCTCCTGGAGGCTGTTCTGAATGGGATACAATATGGGTTCCCAGGTCCTCTGCTCTCCAGATGGATTTGTCAGGGGATTAAAGAGAAAGTGGACAGTGAGATCAGAGTATTTATTCCCTCAAGTCCTTCCTACAAAGTTTGCACAAGCTGGCTGTATTCCTCTACAGAAGATCCTTCTGTCTCAAGAAGCCCCTCACTACAGGACTCTCACTGTCTGGATTGTAATCAGTTCAGTGTCCTTTCATCCCACTTATCTGATACCAGCCTGGCTGCTATCAGATAAGCACCATACAACTTCACGGTTCCTTATGGTTTCCTTATGCCCTCATCTTTGGAAATAAATCTTCTATCACTTACCCTGTTTTGAATGTGCTGTTTCCTATCGGGAATATGACTAAAACATTCTTCATCCAGCAAATTCCTATGCATCCTTCAAAACTCAATCAAAGGGCCACTTTGTGTTTCCCTCTCACAATATTTCTGATACAATACTACTAGTGTTCAAGTTCTCATCTGACTTCTTCAAAGGTAGTGATACTATTTTTACTGTACTTTACAGCTCCAGCATTTAGAAAGTACTGTATAAATATTTGTTGAGTAGATTAATTAAGAGTGACATTAAATTTTCCTAAGCATACTACTCTACATTTTGAAGATGAACAAAATTTCTGCTGATATTTTTTATAAACAAGGCATTGTTCCTCTACACTTAGAATCATCTTTTTTTTTAGGTTATCTAAATTGCACCTATTCCAGTTACACTAGGACACATAGCCACCCTGATTATAACCCATGCATAGTGCTATGATATCCAGGGATGAAGTGAAATTTGAGGACTCTGAACTTGCTGAAAGGAGTGGCGAGAGTTGTAATTCTAGAACGGCCACCAGTGATCTTGCCACCTGGTATTTGTGTCATGACATAATCTGCCTACCCTTGATTGTAGTGACTTGCTTCTAACAAATAGAATACAGCAAAAATGACAGGATGTTGCTTCAGCAATTATTATCTTGTTAGTTAGAAAAGAGCGTATGACTTCTGTTTCGCTAGCAGTCACTCTCTCACTCTCTGGCTCTGTTGCTCGCTTGCTCGGATAAAGCTGGTTACCATATTTGAACTGCTCCTACGAAGAGGTCTTTGTGCTAAAGAACTGAGGGAAACCTCTAGCCAACAGCCAGAGGAACCGAGCCCTCAGTCCAAATGCCTGCCAGGAGTGGAACTCTCCCAATAACAAGTAAGGGATCTTGAAAGAGGATTCTGCCCCAGGCAGACTGTGGGATAACTGCAGCCCTGACTAATATTGCAGCCTGAGCCAGAGGCTCCAGGTAAGTTCACTCCAGATTCCTGACTTACAGAAATTGTGAGATACAAAATGTTGTCACTTTAAGCCATGAAGTTTTGGGGTAACTTGCTGTGCAATAATAGATAACAAATATAGATGTTTCTCTAAATATCAGTAACCTGTTTCTGGTTCCAGTCTGCCAGATCGTGTAGAAGGTGAGTTCGAATTGGAAAATCAGAAAGGAAACAAAAAAGGATCAAATATTTCTAGGTTATAGTTCTAGTAGCAGTTAGCTCAGAAATGATTTCTTCCCATCCCAAAGGAGAAATGCAATGGGAATTACTCTGTCTCACTGATCTGAGTCTTCCTGGTCCTTAGGGCTTTTTGGCTAAAAGTCAATTTGGTTTTGCAGCCACCTACCCTCTTCCCCCTTCTAAAATCCAAAAAGAATGAAAACCGAGGTTGTCATTTACTGAGCATGATGGATTATCTGCAAAACAGCCATCAACGATTCCTTCCATCCATGTATGTGCATGCTGCTTCTCCTCTCAAGTGGGAGAGTCTACGTCTCTTCCCCTCGAACCTGTGTCTTGTTTTGACCAATAGAATGTAGCAGAAGTAACACCCTGTCTTTAGACTTTGGTGGAATTTATTTTTGCACTCTTGGGAGTTCTGAGACACCATGTTAAGAATTCTGATCACCTGCTGAAGAGAAAGCCCATGTGGAGAGAAACGGGCTGCTGGAGGTGAGATACTACAGTGAGCGACAGAGAGGCAGAAAGAGAGAGCAAGCCCAGCCAACACCTAGTAGTTCCTGCCACCCCAGCTGCAGCACCAGCCAAGTGAAAGAAGCTATTTTAGATCCTCCAACCCCAGGTGAGCTACCCCAAACACCACCACCTGGAACAATAAGAGCTATGCCCAACGGGCCCTCCCTTAATTGCGGAATCACAAGCAGATAAACAGTTTTTTGCTGTAAAGCCACTAACTGTTAGGGCAATTTGTTACACAGCAATGGACGACCAAACTCCAGGGGACTAAGATGTCATCAGGCAGTTAGCTAGGCTTTTCACCTGTACTCCATTACAATCCTTACAACACCAACTACATGGAATGAATATTACCACCCCATTGCAGATGAGGAAACTGAGGCCCAAAGAGGATAGGTTAATTTATACAATGTCACACAAATAGCA
Source organism: Homo sapiens (assembly GCF_000001405.40). NCBI lineage: Eukaryota > Metazoa > Chordata > Mammalia > Primates > Hominidae > Homo > Homo sapiens. The sequence goes on from NC_000001.11 coordinate 58,035,577, forward strand.
AATGCATCAGAATTCACATCCAAATTGTTTATTAATCTAAAACATGTGTACTTCACAAGAAACACTGAGATAGCAAGATAGTGCATGGTTCAGGGCCATGATTGGAGACTATGTAGTCTAAGAGAATGGCTCCCCCTGGAGTTGTGAGATGTACAATCAAAGGCAGCATCAGCCCAGGACTGGCAGGATAAAAGAAAAGCCAGTTGTAAACAACCCCCGGCCTATGGGGAGACTTGAGGTCTATTCTCCAGGAGCCTAAGGAAAACTGCAGCTTTGGGAAAAACCCGAGATAGGGCACTTTCACTATCTCAGCTTGAAGGGCTGCTTACAGATAGACCTTTGGTTCTTTGACTTCAAATTGTGTCTCATGATCAGGAAGATGCACATCCGTGTACGGTTGATGTTAAATAGGAGCTTGATTTAATTGGTTGTCTCCAAACCCCACTTAGCCTGGGGTGGGGCTATAGGAATGAGGGAAAAAAAAGTCACTAACAGGATAGCATGGTAAGTGAGATGGTCGGGAAACCGGGGTAGGAAGTTGTTTGTGTAGCCTGCAGGTCCTCTAATAGTAATAATAGCATTTACTAAAGTGCTTAGCCTATGCCAGGGACTGATCTAAGCTCTATTGTATTAATTCATTTGCTCTTCACAATGACTCCGTGAATGTGGAACAATTATTAGCCCTCCTTTACAGAAGATGAAACTGAGGCACATCTAGGTTAACAACTTGCCCAAGGTCATGCTGGCAGTTGGTAATAAGGGAGAGCCCAGGGCCCGTGGGTTCTGCACTTGGAATAGCAATGATACAGCTGGTTGAGCGTGCCCTGCCACTCTGGGCTGCCCACAGGGAGATCTAGCTCTCCTCTTTCTGTGAGCTTATTGGAGGCTAAGTTCTAGTTCTTATAGTCGCCACTAAATGGGACCAGCTGTTTCATTATCTACTTTATCACAATCCACCAAAGGCCTTTATTCAAAAGTCAAATTAATACTTTTATCATCATAACAGTAGTATTGCAATTCTAGACCTGCAGCCTTCTACTAATTTTTTTTCGAGAGTCTGTGGTAGTAAAGCCCAGCATATGATAAAACAGTCTATAAGTACAGCTAAAATACGGTGAGAGTGGAGGCAGAGGTACAGAGGGAGCAGCAGGTGACAGAGATGGAGAGGTAGGTAGAGGCCAGACATGTGGAGACTTGGAAGACCCTGTAGGGAGGTTACAGTTTTATTCAAGTATTAAGAGAGGCTATTTGTGGCAAGAAGCCTAGATTATCTTCTTCTCCCTAGATACACAGATGGATTACATTTCCCAACTTCTCTTGCAGTTGTGTATGGCCATGTGCCTGCCTTGCATTGGTTAAGGGATCAATCATTAGTTGACTTCTAGTCAATGGAATATGATTCTGAGCATGGCCCATTTCAGCTTCCCTTGCCTGCTCCTTCCCACTAGAATGAAGACCCTAGGATGCCTTTGTGTAGCTGTTGCTGTCAGTACTCCTCCCATCTTCCCTTAGACCGCTATCATTTTCCTGCACACTGACTCCACGTATTGTCTCTCCCCCAAAGGCTAGCACCTGCATCCCCTTATCAGAATGCACTCAGGGTATCAGAACCCCCTTTGCCTGCACACACAGATTTCTAGAGGCACCTGGGAGGGTATTTATCCTTAGAGGCAGACCTTAACCAATGCATGGCAGGCATGAGCTTAAATGCTCTTACTCCCTTTTTCTGATGAGGATAGCTCTGAGGCGGGGTCTATGCTGCCTCCAGATCTTCCCTTACGGCAGGGGTCCCCAACCCCTGGGCTGTGGATGAATACTAGTCTGTGGCCAGTTAGGAACTGGGCTGCACAGCAGGAGATGAGTGGCAGCCGAGCATTACCACCTGAGCTCTGCCTCCTGTTAGATCAGCAGTGGCATTAGATTCTTACAGGAGTGGGAACTCCATTGTGAACTGTGCATGTGAGGAATCTAGGTTGCATGCTCCTTATGAGAATTTGATGCCTGATTGAGATTGATCTGAGGTGGAACAGTTTCATCCCAAAACCATCCCCACCCTTCCACCCCCACCCTGCTCCATGGAAAAACTGTCTTCCACAAAACCAGTCCCTGGTGCCAAAAAAGGCTGGGGACTGCTGCCTTATGGGATTAGGCTAAAGTTACCTCTGTGGGGCTTTAGTTGGTACCACACCCTTGCTTACCTTCCTTCCTTTCCTCACCCCACTCTGTACTTCTGTGCAGTTTTTCCTGGGAAAGCTTCCTAATAGATCAGGTTCATATCAGTCTCAGTTTCAGGGTCAGCTTCCAGGAAATCTGACTTGGGATGGTTTTTAAGCTAGGTGTTAATGGCCCTGAATGACTCCTTAGAGAGAGGCAGCCCTGTTGATCTACTCACTAATTCAAGTCATAACCATTGTGTATGAGCCATTATAAATTTTGGAGTCCCTTTGCTACAGTAGTTAGCCTACCCTAACTAATACACTATAAAAAGCCATTAAGCAGAAGACTGACTTGATATCTTTTATATTTTAAAATGAATATATGGCCCTCTTATGGAAAATGAATTAGAGGGGGCAAAAACCAAAATGAGGAGACCCATGAAAATATTCTTGTAAAAGTATAGGAGACAATTGATGTGGCTTCTCAGACTTAGGTGGAAGGAGTTGAGTATGGGCATTCCAGGACACATTTTGGGTGGAAAGGAGAAAACTTGATAATGGACTGGATGTGGGGATGGAAGAGTGGAAGGAATTCAGCTTGACTCTTTGGTTCTGGATTGGCAACTAAACAGCCTCCACACAACGTACAGATCACCTTGTTATCTAGGTACTTGATTAGAAAACAAACCTGTAGTACTATCTTGGTTCCTGTCACATAATTTCTCTTGCCTTTTTTAAAGGAAAGAGAAAAGGAAACATTTGTGAATCAGCGGTTACCAACTGAGCACTCAGCCATGACCGTGGTTCTTCACCAGGGCTTCCTCTCACCTGGGTTTAATAAGCTCCTTTTTTTACCAAATCCAAAGCATGCAACTGGCACTTAAAGAGAGACCTGCCCTGATGGGGTGTTATTGGGGCCAGGATTTAAAAACTGCAGGTGAAACAGAGCCC